>NC_000005.10:46624428-46796725 GCF_000001405.40 Homo sapiens | reverse complement strand
TCTGTCTAGTTTGTATGTGAAGATATGCCTTTTACAACGTATTCTTCAAGGAGCTCCCAATATCCACAAGCAGATTCTACAGAAGCAGTGTTTCAAACCTGCTCTGTCAAAGGAAAGTTTCAACTCTGTGAATTGAACACACACATCACAAAGCAGTTTCTAAGAATGCTTCTGTCTAGTTTTTAAGAGAAGATAATCCTTTTTCCACCATAGGCAACAAATCTCTCCAAATGAACACTACCAGGTTCTACAAAAAGTGTGTTTCAACACTGCTCTAACAAAAGTAAGGATCAAGACGTTGAGTTAAATGCACACATCACAAAGCAGTTTCTGAGAAAGCTTCTGTCTAGTTTTTATTTGAAGGTACTTCCTTTTCCTTCTTAGACCTCAAATCTCTCCAAATATCCACTTGCAGATACTACAAAAAGACTGTTTCAAAACCGCTCTCTCAAAAGGAAGGTTCAACTCTGTGAGTTGAATGCACATATTACAAAGCAGTTCCTGAGAATGCTTCTGTCTATTTTTTAGGTGAAGATATCACTTTTTCCAACATAGGCCACAAAGCATTTGAAATGAACACTTGCAGATTCTACAAAATGTTTGTTTCAACACTGCTGTATCAAAAGAAAGGTTCAACAATGTGAATTGAACACACCCATCACAAAGGAGTTTCTGAGAATGCTTCTGTCTAGTTTTTATGTGAAGATATTTCTTTTTCCAACATAGGCAACAAAGCACTCCAAAGAACACTTGTAGATTATACAAAAAGTGTGTTTCAACACTGCTCTACCTAAAGGAAGTTTCAAGTCTGTGACTTAAATGCACACATCACAAAGCAGTTTCTGAGAATGCTTCTGTCTAGTTTGTATGTGAAGATATTTCATTTATCACCATACTCCACAAATCGCTCCAAATATCCACTTGCAAATACTACAAAAAGACTGTTTCAAAACTTCTCTCTCAAAAGGAAGGTTCAACTCTGTGAGTTGAATGCACACATCACAAGGCAGTTTCTGAAAATGCTTCCGTCTAGTTTTTTATTTGAAGGTATTTCCTTTTCCTTCTTCGGCCTCAAATCACTGCAAATATCCACTTGCAGATACTTCAAAAAGACTGTTTCAAAACCGCTCTCTCAAAAGGAAGGTTCAACACTGTGAGTTGAATGCACATGTTACAAAGCAGTTTCTGGAATGCTTCTGTCTATTTTTCAGGTGAAGATATCACTTTTTCCAGCATACGCACAAAAGAACTCGAAATGGACACTTGCAGATTCTACAAAAAGTATGTTTCAACACTGCTCTATCAAAAGAAAGGTTCAACGATGTGAATTGAACACACACTTCACAGAGGAGTTTCAGAGAATGCTTCTGTCTAGTTTTTAAGTGAAGATATTCCTTTTTCCCACATAGGCAACAAAGCGCTCCAAATGAATACTTGTGGATTCTACAAAAACTGTGTTTCAACACTGCTCTATCAAAAGAAAGTTTCAAGTCTGTGAGTTGAACGCACACATCACAAAGGACCTTCTGAGAATGCTTGGGTCTACTTTTCATGTGAAGATACCCGTTTCCAACGAATAACTCAAAGAGTTCCAAATATACACAATCAGATACTACAAAAGGAGTGTTTCACTCCTCCTCTGTCAAAAGACAGTTTCAACTCTGTTAGTTGAATGCACACATCCCAATGAAGTTCCTGAGAAGGCTTCTGCCTAGTTTTTTGTGAAGATAGTCCCTTTTCCACCATGGGCTTCAAAGCGCTCCAAATGAAAACTTGCAGGTCCTACCAAAAGACTGATTCAAAACTGCTCTATCAAAAGAACGGTTCCACTCTGTTAGGTGAATGCACACATCACAAGAAGTTTCTGAGAATGCTTCTGTTTAGTTTGTATGTGAAGATATTTCCTTTTCCATCATAGTACTCGAATCGCTCCAAGTATCCACCTGCAGACATTACAAAAAGACTGTTTCAAAACTGCTCTCTCAAAAGGAAGGTTCAACTCTGTGAGTTGAGTGCACACATCACAATGGAGTTTCTGAGAATACTTCTGTCTACTTTGTATGTGAAGGTATTTCCTTTTCCACCTGAGGCCCCAAGTCACTACAAATATCCACTTGCAGATACTACAAAAAGACTGTTTCAAAACCTCCCTCTCCAAAGGAAAGTTCAAATCTGTCGGTTGAATGCACACATCACAAAGCAGTTTCTGAGAATGCTTCTGTCTAGTTTGTATGTGAAGATATTTCCTTTTCCATCATAGGCCTCAAATCGCTCCAAATATCCACTTGCAGATACTACAAAAGACCGTTTCAACACTGCTCTCTCAAAAGGAAGGTTCAACTCTGTGGGTTGAATGCACACATCACAAAGCAGTTTCTGAGAATGCTTCTGTCTAGTTTGTATGTGAAGATATTTCCTTTTCCATCATAGGCCTCAAATCGCTCCAAATATCCACTTGAAGATACTACAAAAAGACTGTTTCAACACTGCTCTCTCAAATGGAAGGTTCAACTCTGTGAGTTGAATGCACACATCACAAAGCAGTTTCTGAGAATGCTTCTGTCTAGTTTGTATGTGAAGATATGCCTTTTACAACGTATTCCTCAAGGAGCTCCCAATATCCACAAGCAGATTCTACAGAAGCAGTGTTTCAAACCTGCTCTGTCAAAGGAAAGTTTCAACTCTGTGAATTGAACACACACATCACAAAGCAGTTTCTAAGAATGCTTCTGTCTAGTTTTTAAGAGAAGATAATCCTTTTTCCACCATAGGCAACAAATCTCTCCAAATGAACACTACCAGGTTCTACAAAAAGTGTGTTTCAACACTGCTCTAACAAGAGTAAGGATCAAGACTTTGAGTTAAATGCACACATCACAAAGCTGTTTCTGAGAAAGCTTCTGTCTAGTTTTTATTTGAAGGTACTTCCTTTTCCTTCTTAGACCTCAAATCGCTCCAAATATCCACTTGCAGATACTACAAAAAGACTGTTTCAAAACCGCTCTCTCAAAAGGAAGGTTCAACTCTGTGAGTTGAATGCACATATTACAAAGCAGTTCCTGAGAATGCCTCTGTCTATTTTTTAGGTGAAGATATCACTTTTTCCAACATAGGCCGCAAAGCATTTGAAATGAACCCTTGCAGATTCTACAAAATGTTTGTTTCAACACTGCTGTATCAAAAGAAAGGTTCAACAATGTGAATTGAACAAACCCATTACAAAGGAGTTTCTGAGAATGCTTCTGTCTAGTTTTTATGTGAAGATATTTCTTTTTCCAACATAGGCAACAAAGCACTCCAAAGAACACTTGTAGATTATACAAAAAGTGTGTTTCAACACTGCTCTACCTAAAGGAAGTTTCAAGTCTGTGACTTAAATGCACACATCACAAAGCAGTTTCTGACAATGCTTCTGTCTAGTTTGTATGTGAAGATATTTCATTTTCCACCATACTCCACAAATCGCTCCAAATATCCACTTGCAAATACTACAAAAAGACTGTTTCAAAACTTCTCTCTCAAAAGGAAGGTTCAACTCTGTGAGTTGAATGCACACATCACAAGGCAGTTTCTGAAAATGCTTCCGTCTAGTTTTTTATTTGAAGGTATTTCCTTTTCCTTCTTCGGCCTCAAATCACTGCAAATATCCACTTGCAGATACTACAAAAAGACTGTTTCAAAACCGCTCTCTCAAAAGGAAGGTTCAACACTGTGAGTTGAATGCACATGTTACAAAGCAGTTTCTGGAATGCTTCTGTCTATTTTTCAGTTGAAGATATCACTTTTTCCAACATACGCACAAAAGAACTCGAAATGGACACTTGCAGATTCTACAAAAAGTATGTTTCAACACTGCTCCATCAAAAGAAAGGTTCAACGATGTGAATTGAACACACACTTCACAGAGGAGTTTCAGAGAATGCTTCTGTCTAGTTTTTAAGTGAAGATATTACTTTTTCCCACATAGGCAACAAAGCGCTCCAAATGAATACTTGTGGATTCTACAAAAAGTGTGTTTCAACACTGCTCTATCAAAAGAAAGTTTCAAGTCTCTGAGTTGAACGCACACATCACAAAGGACCTTCTGAGAATGCTTGGGTCTACTTTTTAGGTGAAGATACCCGTTTCCAACGAATAACTCAAAGAGTTCCAAATATACACAATCAGATACTACAAAAGGAGTGTTTCATTCCTCCTCTGTCAAAAGACAGTTTCAACTCTGTTAGTTGAATGCACACATCTCAATGAAGTTCCTGAGAAGGCTTCTGCTTAGTTTTTTGTGAAGATAGTCCCTTTTCCACCATGGGCTTCAAAGCGCTCCAAATAAAAACTTGCAGGTCCTACCAAAAGACTGATTCAAAACTGCTCTATCAAAAGAACGGTTCCACTCTGTTAGGTGAATGCACACATCACAAGAAGTTTCTGAGAATGCTTCTGTTTAGTTTGTATGTGAAGATATTTCCTTTTCCATCATACTACACGAATCGCTCCAAATATCCACCTGCAGACGTTACAAAAAGACTGTTTCAAAACTGCTCTCTCAAAAGGAAGGTTCAACTCTGTGAGTTGAGTGCACACATCGCAATGGAGGTTCTGAGAATACTTCTGTCTACTTTGTATGTGAAGGTATTTCCTTTTCCACCAGAGGCCCCAAGTCACTACAAATATCCACTTGCAGATACTACTAAAAGACTGTTTCAAAACCTCCCTCTCCAAAGGAAAGTTCAAATCTGTCGGTTGAATGCACACATCACAAAGCAGTTTCTGAGAATGCTTCTGTCTAGTTTGTATGTGAAGATATTTCCTTTTCCATCCTAGGCCTCAAATCGCTCCAAATATCCACTTGCAGATACTAAAAAAGACCGTTTCAACACTGCTCTCTCACAAGGAAGGTTCAACTCTGTGGGTTGAATGCAAACATCACGAAGCAGTTTCTGAGAATGCTTCTGTCTAGTTTGTATGTGAAGACATTTCCTTTTCCATCATAGGCCTCAAATCGCTCCACATTTCCACTTGAAGATACTACAAAAAGACTGTTTCAACACTACTCTCTCAAATGGAAGGTTCAACTCTGTGAGTTGAATGCACACATCACAAAGCAGTTTCTGAGAATGCTTCTGTTTAGTTTGTATGTGAAGATATGCCTTTTACAACGTATTCCTCAAGGAGCTCCCAATATCCACAAGCAGATTCTACAGAAGCAGTGTTTCAAACCTGCTCTGTCAAAGGAAAGTTTCAACTCTGTGAATTGAACACACACATCACAAAGCAGTTTCTAAGAATGCTTCTCTCTAGTTTTTAAGAGAAGATAATCCTTTTTCCACCATAGGCAACAAATCTCTCCAAATGAACACTAGCAGTTTCTACCAAAAGTGTGTTTCAACACTGCTCTATCAAAAGAAAGGATCAAGACTTTGAGTTAAATGCACACATCACAAAGCAGTTTCTGAGAAAGCTTCTGTCTAGTTTTTATTTGAAGGTATTTCCTTTTCCTTCTTAGACCTCAAATCGCTCCCAATATCCACTTGCAGGTACTACAAAAAGACTGTTTCAAAACCGCTCTCTCAAAAGGAAGGTTCAACTCTGTGAGTTGAATGCACATATTACAAAGCAGTTCCTGAGAATGCTTCTGTCTATTTTTTAGGTGAAGATATCACTTTTTCCAACATGGCCACAAAGCATTTGAAATGAACACTTGCAGATTCTACAAAATGTTTGTTTCAACACTGCTGTATCAAAAGCAATGTTCAACAATGTGAATTGAACACACCCATCACAAAGGAGTTTCTGAGAATGCTTCTGTCTAGTTTTTATGTGAAGATATTTCTTTTTCCAACATAGGCAACAAAGCACTCCAAAGAACACTTGTAGATTATACAAAAAGTGTGTTTCAACACTGCTCTACCTAAAGGAAGTTTCAAGTCTGTGACTTAAATGCACACATCACAAAGCAGTTTCTGAGAATGCTTCTGTCTAGTTTGTATGTGAAGATATTTCATTTTCCACCACACTCCACAAATCGCTCCAAATATCCACTTGCAAATACTACAAAAAGACTGTTTCAAAACTTCTCTCTCAAAAGGAAGGTTCAACTCTGTGAGTTGAATGCACACATCACAAGGCAGTTTCTGAAAATGTTTCCGTCTAGTTTTTTATTTGAAGGTATTTCCTTTTCCTTCTTCGGCCTCAAATCACTGCAAATATCCACTTGCAGATACTACAAAAAGACTGTTTCAAAACCGCTCTCTCAAAAGGAAGGTTCAACACTGTGAGTTGAATGCACATGTTACAAAGCAGTTTCTGGAATGCTTCTGTCTATTTTTCAGGTGAAGATATCACTTTTTCCAACATACGCACAAAAGAACTCGAAATGGACACTTGCAGATTCTACAAAAAGTATGTTTCAACACTGCTCTATCAAAAGAAAGGTTCAACGATGTGAATTGAACACACACTTCACAGAGGAGTTTCAGAGAATGCTTCTGTCTAGTTTTTAAGTGAAGATATTCCTTTTTCCCACATAGGCAACAAAACGCTCCAAACGAATACTTGTGGATTCTACAAAAAGTGTGTTTCAACACTGCTCTATCAAAAGAAAGTTTCAAGTCTGTGAGTTGAACGCACACATCACAAAGAACCTTCTGAGAATGCTTGGGTCTACTTTTTATGTGAAGATACCCGTTTCCAACGAATAACTCAAAGAGTTCCAAATACACACAATCAGATACTACAAAAGGAGTGTTTCATTCCTGCTCTGTCAAAAGACAGTTTCAACTCTGTTAGTTGAATGCACACATCTCAGTGAAGTTCCTGAGAAGGCTTCTGCCTAGTTTTTTGTGAAGATAGTCCCTTTTCCACCATGGGCTTCAAAGCGCTCCAAATGAAAACTTGCAGGTCCTACCAAAAGACTGATTCAAAACTGCTCTATCAAAAGAACGGTTCCACTCTGTTAGGTGAATGCACACATCACAAGAAGTTTCTGAGAATGCTTCTGTTTAGTTTGTATGTGAAGATATTTCCTTTTCCATCATACTACACGAATCGCTCCAAATATCCACCTGCAGACGTTACAAAAAGACTGTTTCAAAACTGCTCTCTCAAAAGGAAGGTTCAACTCTGTGAGTTGAGTGCACACATCGCAATGGAGGTTCTGAGAATACTTCTGTCTAGTTTGTACGTGAAGGTATTTCCTTTTCCATCTTAGGCCCCAAATCACTACAAATATCCACTTGCAGATACTACAAAAAGTCTGTTTCAAAACCTCTCTCTCAAAAGGAAAGTTCAAATCTGTGAGTTGAATGCACACATCACAAAGCAGTTCCTGAGACTGCTTCTGTCTAGTTTGTATGTGAAGATATTTCCTTTTCCATCATAGGCTTCAAATCGCTCCAAATATCCACTTGCAGATACTACAAAAGACCGTTTCAACACTGCTCTCTCAAAAGGAAGGTTCAACTCTGTGGGTTGAATGCACACATCACAAAGCAGTTTCTGAGAATGCTTCTGTCCAATTTTTATGTGAAGATATTCCCTTTTCCATCATAGGCCTCAAGTCGCTACAAATATCCACTTGCAGACATTACAAAAAGACTGTTTCAAAACTGCTCTCTCAAAAGGAAGGTTCAACTCTGTGAGTTGAGTGCACACATCACAATGGAGTTTCTGAGAATACTTCTGTCTAGTTTGTATGTGAAGATATGCCTTTTACAACGTATTCCTCAAGGAGCTCCCAATATCCACAACCAGATTCTACAGAAGCAGTGTTTCAAACCTGCTCTGTCAAAGGAAAGTTTCAACTCTGTGAATTGAACACACACATCACAAAGCAGTTTCTAAGAATGCTTCTGACTAGTTTTTAAGAGAAGATAATCCTTTTTCCACCATAGGCATCAAATCTCTCCAAATGAACACTACCAGGTTCTACAAAAAGTGTGTTTCAACACTGCTCTAACAAAAGTAAGGATCAAGACTTTGAGTTAAATGCACACATCACAAAGCAGTTTCTGAGAAAGCTTCTGTCTAGTTTTTATTTGAAGGTACTTCCTTTTCCTTCTTAGACCTCAAATCGCTCCAAATATCCACTTGCAGATACTACAAAAAGACTGTTTCAAAACCGCTCTCTCAAAAGGAAGGTTCAACTCTGTGAGTTGAATGCACATATTACAAAGCAGTTCCTGAGAATGCTTCTGTCTATTTTTTAGGTGAAGATATCACTTTTTCCAACATAGGCCACAAAGCATTTGAAATGAACCCTTGCAGATTCTACAAAATGTTTGTTTCAACACTGCTGTATCAAAAGAAAGGTTCAACAATGTGAATTGAACAAACCCATTACAAAGGAGTTTCTGAGAATGCTTCTGTCTAGTTTTTATGTGAAGATATTTCTTTTTCCAACATAGGCAACAAAGCACTCCAAAGAACACTTGTAGATTATACAAAAAGTGTGTTTCAACACTGCTCTACCTAAAGGAAGTTTCAAGTCTGTGACTTAAATGCACACATCACAAAGCAGTTTCTGAGAATGCTTCTGTCTAGTTTGTATGTGAAGATATTTCATTTTCCACCATACTCCACAAATCGCTCCAAATATCCACTTGCAAATACTACAAAAAGACTGTTTCAAAACTTCTCTCTCAAAAGGAAGGTTCAACTCTGTGAGTTGAATGCACACATCACAAGGCAGTTTCTGAAAATGCTTCCGTCTAGTTTTTTATTTGAAGGTATTTCCTTTCCTTCTTCGGCCTCAAATCACTGCAAATATCCACTTGCAGATACTACAAAAAGACTGTTTCAAAACCGCTCTCTCAAAAGGAAGGTTCAACACTGTGAGTTGAATGCACATGTTACAAAGCAGTTTCTGGAATGCTTCTGTCTATTTTTCAGGTGAAGATATCACTTTTTCCAACATACGCACAAAAGAACTCGAAATGGACACTTGCAGATTCTACAAAAAGTATGTTTCAACACTGCTCCATCAAAAGAAAGGTTCAACGATGTGAATTGAACACACACTTCACAGAGGAGTTTCAGAGAATGCTTATCTGTCTAGTTTTTAAGTGAAGATATTCCTTTTTCCCACATAGGCAACAAAGCGCTCCAAATGAATACTTGTGGATTCTACAAAAACTGTGTTTCAACACTGCTCTATCAAAAGAAAGTTTCAAGTCTGTGAGTTGAACGCACACATCACAAAGGACCTTCTGAGAATGCTTGGGTCTACTTTTTATGTGAAGATACCCGTTTCCAACTAATAACTCAAAGAGTTCCAAATATACACAATCAGATACTACAAAAGGACTCTTTCATTCCTCCTCTGTCAAAAGACAGTTTCAACTCTGTTGGTTGAATGCACACATCTCAATGAAATTCCTGAGAAGGTTTCTGCCTAGTTTTTTGTGAAGATAGTCCCTTTTCCACCATGGGCTTCAAAGCGCTCCAAATGAAAACTTGCAGGTCCTACCAAAAGACTGATTCAAAACTGCTCTATCAAAAGAACGGTTCCACTCTGTTAGGTGAATGCACACATCACAAGAAGTTTCTGAGAATGCTTCTGTTTAGTTTGTATGTGAAGATATTTCCTTTTCCATCATAGTACTCGAATCGCTCCAAATATCCACTTGCAGACATTACAAAAAGACTGTTTCAAAACTGCTCTCTCAAAAGGAAGGTTCAACTCTGTGAGTTGAGTGCACACTTCACAATGGAGTTTCTGAGAATACTTCTGTCTACTTTGTATGTGAAGGTATTTCCTTTTCCATCTGAGGCCCCAAGTCACTACAAATATCCACTTGCAGATACTACAAAAAGACTGTTTCAAAACCTCCCTCTCAAAAGGAAAGTTCAAATCTGTGAGTTGAATGCACACATCACAAAGCAGTTCCTGAGACTGCTTCTGTCTAGTTTGTATGTGAAGATATTTCCTTTTCCATCATAGGCCTCAAATCGCTCCAAATATCCACTTGCAGATACTACAAAAGACCGTTTCAACACTGCTCTCTCAAAAGGAAGGTTCAACTCTGTGGGTTGAATGCACACATCACAAAGCAGTTTCTGAGAATGCTTCTGTCTAGTTTGTATGTGAAGATATTTCCTTTTCCATCATAGGTCTCAAATCGCTCCAAATATCCACTTGCAGATACTACAAAAAGACTGTTTCGACACTGCTCTCTCAAATGGAAGGTTCAACTCTGTGAGTTGAATGCACACATCACAACGGAGTTTCTGAGAATGCTTCTGTCTAGTTTGAATGTGAAGATATGCCTTTTACAACGTATTCCTCAAGGAGCTCCCAATATCCACAAGCAGATTCTACAGAAGCAGTGTTTCAAACCTGCTCTGTCAAAGGAAAGTTTCAACTCTGTGAATTGAACACACACATCACAAAGCAGTTTCTAAGAATGCTTCTGTCTAGTTTTTAAGAGAAGATAATCCTTTTTCCACCATAGGCAACAAATCTCTCCAAATGAACACTACCAGGTTCTACAAAAAGTGTGTTTCAACACTGCTCTAACAAAAGTAAGGATCAAGACTTTGAGTTAAATGCACACATCACAAAGCAGTTTCTGAGAAAGCTTCTGTCTAGTTTTTATTTGAAGGTACTTCCTTTTCCTTCTTAGACCTCAAATCGCTCCAAATATCCACTTGCAGATACTACAAAAAGACTGTTTCAAAACCGCTCTCTCAAAAGGAAGGTTCAACTCTGTGAGTTGAATGCACATATTACAAAGCAGTTCCTGAGAATGCTTCTGTCTATTTTTTAGGTGAAGATAACACTTTTTCCAACAAAGGCCTCAAAGCATTTGAAATGAACACTTGCAGATTCTACAAAATGTTTGTTTCAACACTGCTGTATCAAAAGAAAGGTTCAACAATGTGAATTGAACACACCCATCACAAAGGAGTTTCTGAGAATGCTTCTGTCTAGTTTTTATGTGAAGATATTTCTTTTTCCAACATAGGCAACAAAGCACTCCAAAGAACACTTGTAGATTATACAAAAAGTGTGTTTCAACACTGCTCTACCTAAAGGAAGTTTCAAGTCTGTGACTTAAATGCACACATCACAAAGCAGTTTCTGAGAATGCTTCTGTCTAGTTTGTATGTGGAGATATTTCATTTTCCACCATACTCCACAAATCGCTCCAAATATCCACTTGCAAATACTACAAAAAGACTGTTTCAAAACTTCTCTCTCAAAAGGAAGGTTCAACTCTGTGAGTTGAATGCACACATCACAAGGAAGTTTCTGAAAATGCTTCTGTCTAGTTTTTTATTTGAAGGTATTTCCTTTTCCTTCTTCGGCCTCAAATCACTGCAAATATCCACTTGCAGATACTACAAAAAGACTGTTTCAAAACCGCTCTCTCAAAAGGAAGGTTCAACACTGTGAGTTGAATGCACATGTTGCAAAGCAGTTTCTGGAATGCTTCTGTCTATTTTTCAGGTGAAGATATCACTTTTTCCAACATACGCACAAAAGAACTCGAAATGGACACTTGCAGATTCTACAAAAAGTATGTTTCAACACTGCTCTATCAAAAGAAAGGTTCAACGATGTGAATTGAACACACATTTCACAGAGGAGTTTCAGAGAATGCTTCTGTCTAGTTTTTAAGTGAAGATATTCCTTTTTCCCACATAGGCAACAAAGCGCTCCAAATGAATACTTGCGGTTTCTACAAAACGTGTGTTTCAACACTGCTCTATCAAAAGAAAGATTAAAGTCTGTGAGTTGAACGCACACATCACAAAGAACCTTCTGAGAATGCTTGGGTCTACTTTTTATGTGAAGATACCTGTTTCCAACGAATAACTCAAAGAGTTCCAAATATACACAATCAGATACTACAAAAGGAGTGTTTCATTCCTCCTCTGTCAAAAGACAGTTTCAACTCTGTTAGTTGAATGCACACATCCACATCTCAATGAAGTTCCTGAGAAGGCTTCTGCCTAGTTTTTTGTGAAGATAGTCCCTTTTCCACCATGGGCTTCAAAGCGCTCCAAATGAAAACTTGCAGGTCCTACCAAAAGACTGATTCAAAACTGCTCTATCAAAAGAACGGTTCCACTCTGTTAGGTGAATGCACACATCACAAGAAGTTTCTGAGAATGCTTCTGTTTAGTTTGTATGTGAAGATATTTCCTTTTCCATCATACTACTCGAATCGCTCCAAATATCCACATGCAGACGTTACAAAAAGACTGTTTCAAAACTGCTCTCTCAAAAGGAAGGTTCAACTCTGTGAGTTGAGTGCACACATCACAATGGAGTTTCTGAGAATACTTCGGTCTACTTTGTATGTGAAGGTATTTCCTTTTCTACCTGAGGCCCCAAGTCACTACAAATATCCACTTGCAGATACTACAAAAAGACTGTTTCAAAACCTCCCTCTCAAAAGGAAAGTTCAAATCTGTCGGTTGAATGCACACATCACAAAGCAGTTTCTGAGAATGCTTCTGTCTAGTTTGTATGTGAAGATATTTCCTTTTCCATCCTAGGCCTCAAATCGCTCCAAATATCCACTTGCAGATACTACAAAAGACCGTTTCAACACTGCTCTCTCAAAAGGAAGGTTCAACTCTGTGGGTTGAATGCACACATCACAAAGCAGTTTCTGAGATTGCTTCTGTCTACTTTGTATGTGAAGATATTTCCTTTTCCATCATAGGCCTCAAATCGCTCCAAATATCCACTTGAAGATACTACAAAAAGACTGTTTCAACACTGCTCTCTCAAATGGAAGGTTCAACTCTGTGAGTTGAATGCACACATCACAAAGCAGTTTCTGAGAATGCTTCTGTCTAGTTTGTATGTGAAGGTATCCCGTTTGCAACAAATTCCTCAGAGAGCTCCAAATATCCACAAACAATTTCTACAAAAGCCGTTTTTCAAAATTGCTCCATCAAAAGAAAGGTTCAACTCTGTGAATTGAACAGACACATCACAAAGGTGTTTCTGAGAATGATTCTGTCTAGTTTTTAAGAGAAGATAATCATTTTTCCACCATAGGCAACAAATCTCTCCAAATGAACACTACCAGGTTCTACAAAAAGTGTGTTTCAACACTGCTCTAACAAAAGTAAGGATCAAGACTTTGAGTTAAATGCACACATCACAAAGCAGTTTCTGAGAAAGCTTCTGTCTAGTTTTTATTTGAAGGTACTTCCTTTTCCTTCTTAGACCTCAAATCGCTCCAAATATCGACTTGCAGATACTACAAAAAGACTGTTTCAAAACCGCTCTCTCAAAAGGAAGGTTCAACTCTGTGAGTTGAATGCACACATCACAAAGCAGTTCCTGAGAATGCTTCTGTCTATTTTTTAGGTGAAGATATCACTTTTTCCAACATAGGCCACAAAGCATTTGAAATGAGCACTTGCAGATTCTACAAAATGTTTGTTTCAACACTGCTGTATCAAAAGAAAGGTTCAACAATGTGAATTGAACAAACCCATCACAAAGGAGTTTCTGAGAATGCTTCTGTCTAGTTTTTATGTGAAGATATTTCTTTTTCCAACATAGGCAACAAAGCACTCCAAAGAACACTTGTAGATTATACAAAAAGTGTGTTTCAACACTGCTCTACCTAAAGGAAGTTTCAAGTCTGTGACTTAAATGCACACATCACAAAGCAGTTTCTGAGAATGCTTCTGTCTAGTTTGTATGTGAAGATATTTCATTTTCCACCATACTCCACAAATCGCTCCAAATATCCACTTGCAAATACTACAAAAAGACTGTTTCAAAACTTCTCTCTCAAAAGGAAGGTTCAACTCTGTGAGTTGAATGCACACATCACAAGGCAGTTTCTGAAAATGCTTCCGTCTAGTTTTTTATTTGAAGGTATTTCCTTTTCCTTCTTCGGCCTCAAATCACTGCAAATATCCACTTGCAGATACTACAAAAAGACTGTTTCAAAACCGCTCTCTCAAAAGGAACGTTCAACACTGTGAGTTGAATGCAGATGTTACAAAGCAGTTTACTGGAATGCTTCTGTCTATTTTCCAGGTGAAGATATCACTTTTTCCAACATACGCACAAAAGAACTTGAAATGGACACTTGCAGATTCTACAAAAAGTATGTTTCAACACTGCTCTATCAAAAGAAAGGCTCAACGATGTGAATTGGACACACACTTCACAGAGGAGTTTCAGAGAATGCTTCTGTCTAGTTTTGAAGTGAAGATATTACTTTTTCCCACATAGGCAACAAAGCGCTCCAAATGAATACTTGTGGAATCTTCAAAAAGTGTGTTTCAACACAGCTCTATCAAAAGAAAGTTTCAAGTCTGTGAGTTGAACGCACACATCACAAAGAACCTTCTGAGAATGCTTGGGTCTACTTTTTATGTGAAGATACCCGTTTCCAAAGAATAACTCAAAGAGTTCCAAATATACACAATCAGATACTACAAAAGGAGTGTTTCACTCCTGCTCTGTCAAAAGATAGTTTCAACTCTGTTAGTTGAATGCACACATCTCAATGAAGTTCCTGAGAAGGCTTCTGCCTAGTTTTTTGTGAAGATAGTCCCTTTTCCACCATGGGCTTCAAAGCGCTCCAAATGAAAACTTGCAGGTCCTACCAAAAGACTGATTCAAAACTGCTCTATCAAAAGAACGGTTCCACTCGGTTAGGTGAATGCACACATCACAAGAAGTTTCTGAGAATGCTTCTGTTTAGTTTGTATGTGAAGATATTTCCTTTTCCATCATACTACACGAATCGCTCCAAATATCCACCTGCAGACGTTACAAAAAGACTGTTTCAAAACTGCTCTCTCAAAAGGAAGGTTCAACTCTGTGAGTTGAGTGCACACATCACAATGGAGTTTCTGAGAATACTTCTGTCTACTTTGTATGTGAAGGTATTTCCTTTTCCACCTGAGGCCCCAAGTCACTACAAATATCCACTTGCAGATACTACAAAAAGACTGTTTCAAAACCTCCCTCTCCAAAGGAAAGTTCAAATCTGTCGGCTGAATGCACACATCACAAAGCAGTTTCTGAGAATGCTTCTGTCTAGTTTGTATGTGAAGATATTTCCTTTTCCATCATAGGCCTCAAATCGCTCCAAATATCCACTTGCAGATACTACAAAAGACCGTTTCAACACTGCTCTCTCAACAGGAAGGTTCAACTCTGTGGGTTGAATGCACACATCACAAAGCAGTTTCTGAGAATGCTTCTGTCTAGTTTGTATGTGAAGATATTTCCTTTTCCATCATAGGCCTCAAATCGCTCCAAATATCCACTTGCAGATACTACAAAAAGACTGTTTCAACACTGCTCTCTCAAATGGAAGGTTCAACTCTCTGAGTTGAAGGCACACATCACAACGGAGTTTCTGAGAATGCTTCTGTCTAGTTTGTATGTGAAGATATGCCTTTTACAACGTATTCCTCAAAGAGCTCCAAATATCCACAAGCAGATTCTACAAAAGCAGTGTTTCAAAACTGCTCTATCAAAGGAAAGTTTCAACTCTGTGAATTGAGCACACACATTCCAAAGCAGTTTCTAAGAATGCTTCTCTCTAGTTTTTAAGAGAAGATAATCCTTTTTCCACCATAGGCAACAAATCTCTCCAAATGAACACTAGCAGATTCTACAAAAAGTGTGTTTCAACACTGCTCTATCAAAAGAAAGGATCAAGACTTTGAGTTAAATGCACACATCACAAAGAAGTTTCTGAGAAAGCTTCTGTCTAGTTTTTATTTGAAGGTATTTCCTTTTCCTTCTTAGACCTCAAATCACTCCCAATATCCACTTGCAGATACTACAAAAAGACTGTTTCAAAACCGCTCTCTCAAAAGGAAGGTTCACCTCTGTGAGTTGAATGCACATATTACAAAGCAGTTCCTGAGAATGCTTCTGTCTATTTTTTAGGTGAAGATATCACTTTTTCCAACATAGGCCACAAAGCATTTGAAATGAACACTTGCAGATTCTACAAAATGTTTGATTCAACACTGCTGTATCAAAAGAAAGGTTCAACAATGTGAATTGAACACACCCATCACAAAGGAGTTTCTGAGAATGCTTCTGTCTAGTTTTTATGTGAAGATATTTCTTTTTCCAACATAGGCAACAAAGCACTCCAAAGAACACTTGTAGATTATACAAAAAGTGTGTTTCAACACTGCTCTACCTAAAGGAAGTTTCAAGTCTGTGACTTAAATGCACACATCACAAAGCAGTTTCTGACAATGCTTCTGTCTAGTTTGTATGTGAAGATATTTCATTTTCCACCATACTCCACAAATCGCTCCAAATATCCACTTGCAAATACTACAAAAAGACTGTTTCAAAACTGCTCTCTCAAAAGGAAGGTTCAACTCTGTGAGTTGAGTGCACACATCACAATGGAGTTTCTGAGAATACTTCAGTCTATTTTTTTATTTGAAGGTATTTCCTTTTCCTTCTTTGGCCTCTAATCACTGCAAATATCCACTTGCAGATACTACAAAAAGACTGTTTCAAAACCGCTCTATCAAAAGGAACGTTCAACACTGTGAGTTGAATGCACATGTTACAACGCAGTTTCTGGAATGCTTCTGTCTATTTTTCAGGTGAAGATATCACTTTTTCCAACATACGCACAAAAGAACTCGAAATGGACACTTAAAGATTCTACAAAAAGTATGTTTCAACACTGCTCTATCAAAAGAAAGGTTCAACGATGTGAATTGAACACACACTTCACAGAGGAGTTTCAGAGAATGCTTCTGTCTAGTTTTTAAGTGAAGATATTACTTTTTCCCACATAGGCAACAAAGCGCTCCAAACGAATACTTGTGGATTCTACAAAAAGTGTGTTTCAACACTGCTCTATCAAAAGAAAGTTTCAAGTCTGTGAGTTGAACGCACACATCACAAAGAACCTTCTGAGAATGCTTGGGTCTACTTTTTATGTGAAGATACCCGTTTCCAACGAATAACTCAAAGAGTTCCAAATATACACAATCAGATACTACAAAAGGAGTGTTTCATTCCTCCTCTGTCAAAAGACAGTTTCAACTCTGTTAGTTGAATGCACACATCTCAATGAAGTTCCTGAGAAGGCTTCTGCCTAGTTTTTTGTGAAGATAGTGCCTTTTCCACCATGGGCGTCAAAGCGCTCCAAATGAAAACTTGCAGGTCCTACCAAAAGACTGATTCAAAACTGCTCTATCAAAAGAACGGTTCCACTCTTTTAGGTGAATACACACATCACAACAAGTTTCTGAGAATGCTTCTGTTTAGTTTGTATGTGAAGATATTTCCTTTTCCATCATAGTACTCGAATCGCTCCAAATATCCACCTGCAGACATTACAAAAAGACTGTTTCAAAACTGCTCTCTCAAAAGGAAGGTTCAACTCTGTGAGTTGAGTGCACACATCACAATGGAGTTTCTGAGAATACTTCTGGTCTACTTTGTATGTGAAGGTATTTCCTTTTCCACCTGAGGCCCCAAGTCACTACAAATATCCACTTGCAGATACTACAAAAAGACTGTTTCAAAACCTCCCTCTCCAAAGGAAAGTTCAAATCTGTCGGTTGAATGCACACATCACAAAGCAGTTTCTGAGAATGCTTCTGTCTAGTTTGTATGTGAAGATATTTCCTTTTCCATCATAGGCTTCAAATCGCTCCAAATATCCACTTGCAGATACTACAAAAGACCGTTTCAACACTGCTCTCTCAAAAGGAAGGTTCAACTCTGTGGGTTGAATGCACACATCACAAAAAAGTTTCTGAGAATGCTTCTGTCTAGTTTGTATGTGAAGATATTTCCTTTTCCATCATAGGCCTCAAATCGCTCCAAATATCCACTTGAAGATACTACAAAAAGACCGTTTCAACACTGCTCTCTCAAATGGAAGGTTCACCTCTGTGAGTTGAATGCACACATCACAAAGCAGTTTCTGAGAATGCTTCTGTTTAGTTTGTATGTGAGGATATGCCTTTTACAATGTATTCCTCAAGGAGCTCCCAATATCCACAAGCAGATTCTACAGAAGCAGTGTTTCAAACCTGCTCTGTCAAAGGAAAGTTTCAACTCTGTGAATTGAACACACACATCACAAAGCAGTTTCTAAGAATGCTTCTGTCTAGTTTTTAAGAGAAGATAATCCTTTTTCCACCATAGGCAACAAATCTCTCCAAATGAACACTACCAGGTTCTACAAAAAGTGTGTTTCAACACTGCTCTAACAAAAGTAAGGATCAAGACTTTGAGTTAAATGCACACATCACAAAGCAGTTTCTGAGAAAGCTTCTGTCTAGTTTTTATTTGAAGGTATTTCCTTTTCCTTCTTAGACCTCAAATCGCTCCAAATATCCACTTGCAGATACTACAAAAAGACTCTTTCAAAACCGCTCTCTCAAAAGGAAGGTTCAACTCTGTGAGTTGAATGCACATATTACAAAGCAGTTCCTGAGAATGCTTCTGTCTATTTTTTAGGTGAAGATATCACTTTTTCCAACATAGGCCACAAAGCATTTGAAATGAACACTTGCAGATTCTACAAAATGTTTGTTTCAACACTGCTGTATCAAAAGCAAGGTTCAACAATGTGAATTGAACACACCCATCACAAAGGAGTTTCTGAGAATGCTTCTGTCTAGTTGTTATGTGAAGATATTTCTTTTTCCATCATAGGCAACAAAGCACTCCAAAGAACACTTGTAGATTATACAAAAAGTGTGTTTCAACACTGCTCTATCTAAAGGAAGTTTCAAGTCCGTGAGTTAAATGCACACATCACAAAGTAGTTTCTGAGAATGCTTCTGTCTAGTTTGTATGTGAAGATATTTCATTTATCACCATACTCCACAAATCGCTCCAAATATCCACTTGCAAATACTACAAAAAGACTGTTTCAAAACTTCTCTCTCAAAAGGAAGGTTCAACTCTGTGAGTTGAATGCACACATCACAAGGCAGTTTCTGAAAATGCTTCCGTCTAGTTTTTTATTTGAAGGTATTTCCTTTTCCTTCTTCGGCCTCAAATCACTGCAAATATCCACTTGCAGATACTACAAAAAGACTGTTTCAAAACCGCTCTCTCAAAAGGAAGGTTCAACACTGTGAGTTGAATGCACATGTTACAAAGCAGTTTCTGGAATGCTTCTGTCTATTTTTCAGGTGAAGATATCACTTTTTCCAACATACGCACAAAAGAACTCGAAATGGACACTTGCAGATTCTACAAAAAGTATGTTTCAACACTGCTCCATCAAAAGAAAGGTTCAACGATGTGAATTGAACACACACTTCACAGAGGAGTTTCAGAGAATGCTTCTGTCTAGTTTTTAAGTGAAGATATTCCTTTTTCCCACACAGGCAACAAAGCGCTCCAAACGAATACTTGTGGATTCTACAAAAAGTGTGTTTCAACACTGCTCTATCAAAAGAAAGTTTCAAGTCTGTGAGTTGAACGCACACATCACAAAGAACCTTCTGAGAATGCTTGGGTCTACTTTTTATGTGAAGATACCCGTTTCCAACGAATAACTCAAAGAGTTCCAAATACACACAATCAGATACTACAAAAGGAGTGTTTCATTCCTCCTCTGTCAAAAGACAGTTTCAACTCTGTTAGTTGAATGCACACATCTCAATGAAGTTCCTGAGAAGGCTTCTGCCTAGTTTTTTGTGAAGATAGTCCCTTTTCCACCATGGGCTTCAAAGCGCTCCAAATGAAAACTTGCAGGTCCAACCAAAAGACCGATTCAAAACTGCTCTATCAAAAGAACGGTTCCACTCTGTTAGGTGAACGCACACATCACAAGAAGTTTCTGAGAATGCTTCTGTTTAGTTTGTATGTGAAGATATTTCCTTTTCCATCATACTACTCGAATCGCTCCAAATATCCACCTGCAGACGTTACAAAAAGACTGTTTCAAAACTGCTCTCTCAAAAGGAAGGTTCAACTCTGTGAGTTGAGTGCACACATCACAATGGAGTTTCTGAGAATACTTCTGTCTAGTTTGTATGTGAAGGTATTTCCTTTTCCATCTGAGGCCCCAAGTCACTACAAATATCCACTTGCAGATACTACAAAAAGACTGTTTCAAAACCTCCCTCTCCAAAGGAAAGTTCAAATCTGTCGGTTGAATGCACACATCACAAAGCAGTTTCTGAGAATGCTTCTGTCTACTTTGCATGTGAAGATATTTCCTTTTCCATCATAGGCCTCAAATCGCTCCAAATATCCACTTGCAGATACTACAAAAGACCGTTTCAACACTGCTCTCTCAAAAGGAAGGTTCAACTCTGTGGGTTGAATGCACACATCACAAAGCAGTTTCTGAGAATGCTTCTGTCTAGTTTGTATGTGAAGATATTTCCTTTTCCATCATAGGCCTCAAATCGCTCCAAATATCCACTTGCAGATACTACAAAAAGACTGTTTCAACACTGCTCTCTCAAATGGAAGGTTCAACTCTGTGAGTTGAATGCACACATCACAAAGCAGTTTCTGAGAATGCTTCTGTCTAGTTTGTATGTGAAGATATGCCTTTTACAACGTATTCCTCAAGGAGCTCCCAATATCCACAAGCAGATTCTACAAAAGCAGTGTTTCAAACCTGCTCTATCAAAGGAAAGTTTCAACTCTGTGAATTGAACACACACATCACAAAGCAGTTTCTAAGAATGCTTCTGTCTAGTTTTTAAGAGAAGATAATCCTTTTTCCACCATAGGCAACAAATCTCTCCAAATGAACACTACCAGGTTCTACAAAAAGTGTGTTTCAACACTGCTCTAACAAAAGTAAGGATCAAGACTTTGAGTTAAATGCACACATCACAAAGCAGTTTCTGAGAAAGCTTCTGTCTAGTTTTTATTTGAAGGTACTTCCTTTTCCTTCTTAGACCTCAAATCGCTCCAAATATCCACTTGCAGATACTACAAAAAGACTGTTTCAAAACCGCTCTCTCAAAAGGAAGGTTCAACTCTGTGAGTTGAATGCACATATTACAAAGCAGTTCCTGAGAATGCTTCTGTTTATTTTTTAGGTGAAGGTATCTCTTTTTCCAACATAGGCCACAAAGCATTTGAAATGAGCACTTGCAGATTCTACAAAATGTTTGTTTCAACACTGCTGTATCAAAAGAAAGGTTCAACAATGTGAATTGAACAAACCCATCACAAAGGAGTTTCTGTGAATGCTTCTGTCTAGTTTCTATGTGAAGATATTTCTTTTTCAACGTAGCCAACAAAGCACTCCAAAGAACACTTGTAGATTATACAAAAAGTGTGTTTCAACACTGCTCTACCTAAAGGAAGTTTCAAGTCTGTGACTTAAATGCACACATCACAAAGCAGTTTCTGACAATGCTTCTGTCTAGTTTGTATGTGAAGATATTTCATTTTCCACCATACTCCACAAATCGCTCCAAATATCCACTTGCAAATACTACAAAAAGACTGTTTCAAAACTTCTCTCTCAAAAGGAAGGTTCAACTCTGTGAGTTGAATGCACACATCACAAGGCAGTTTCTGAAAATGCTTCCGTCTAGTTTTTTTATTGAAAGTATTTCCTTTTCCTTCTTCGGCCTCAAATCACTGCAAATATCCACTTGCAGATACTACAAAAAGACTGTTTCAAAACCGCTCTCTCAAAAGGAAGGTTCAACACTGTGAGTTGAATGCACATGTTACAAAGCAGTTTCTGGAATGCTTCTGTCTATTTTTCAGGTGAAGATATCACTTTTTCCAACATACGCACAAAAGAACTCGAAATGGACACTTGCAGATTCTACAAAAAGTATGTTTCAACACTGCTCTATCAAAAGAAAAGTTCAACGATGTGAATTGAACACACACTTCACAGAGGAGTTTCAGAGAATGTTTCTGTCTAGTTTTGAAGTGAAGATATTCCTTTTTCCCACATAGGCAACAAAGCGCTCCAAACGAATACTTGTGGATTCTACAAAAAGTGTGTTTCAACACTGCTCTATCAAAAGAAAGTTTCAAGTCTGTGAGTTGAACGCACACATCACAAAGAACCTTCTGAGAATGCTTGGGTCTACTTTTTATGTGAAGATACCCGTTTCCAACGAATAACTCAAAGAGTTCCAAATACACACAATCAGATACTACAAAAGGAGTGTTTCATTCCTCCTCTGTCAAAAGACAGTTTCAACTCTGTTAGTTGAATGCACACATCTCAATGAAGTTCCTGAGAAGGCTTCTGCCTAGTTTTTTGTGAAGATAGTCCCTTTTCCACCATGGGCTTCAAAGCGCTCCAAATGAAAACTTGCAGGTCCTACCAAAAGACTGATTCAAAACGGCTCTATCAAAAGAACGGTTCCACTCTGTTAGGTGAACGCACACATCACAAGAAGTTTCTGAGAATGCTTCTGTTTAGTTTGTATGTGAAGATATTTCCTTTTCCATCATACTACACGAATCGCTCCAAATATCCACCTGCAGACGTTAAAAAAAGACTGTTTCAAAACTGCTCTCTCAAAAGGAAGGTTCAACTCTGTGAGTTGAGTGCACACATCACAATGGAGTTTCTGAGAATACTTCTGTCTACTTTGTATGTGAAGGTATTTCCTTTTCCACCTGAGGCCCCAAGTCACTACAAATATCCACTTGCAGATACTACAAAAAGACTGTTTCAAAACCTCCCTCTCCAAAGGAAAGTTCAAATCTGTCGGTTGAATGCACACATCACAAAGCAGTTTCTGAGAATGCTTCTGTCTAGTTTGTATGTGAAGATATTTCCTTTTCCATCATAGGCCTCAAATCGCTCCAAATATCCACTTGCAGATACTACAAAAGACCGTTTCAACACTGCTCTCTCAAAAGGAAGGTTCAACTCTGTGGGTTGAATGCACACATCACAAAGCAGTTTCTGAGAATGCTTCTGTCTAGTTTGTATGTGAAGATATTTCCTTTTCCATCATAGGCCTCAAATCGCTCCAAATATCCAATTGAAGATACTACAAAAAGACCGTTTCCACACTGCTCTCTCAAATGGAAGGTTCAACTCTGTGAGTTGAATGCGCACATCACAAAGCAGTTTCTGAGAATGCTTCTGTCTAGTTTGTATGTGAAGATATGCCTTTTACAACGTATTCCTCAAGTAGCTCCCAATATCCACAAGCAGATTCTACAGAAGCAGTGTTTCAAACCTGCTCTGTCAAAGGAAAGTTTCAACTCTGTGAATTGAACACACACATCACAAAGCAGTTTCTAAGAATGCTTCTGTCTAGTTTTTAAGAGAAGATAATCCTTTTTCCACCATAGGCAACAAATCTCTCCCAATGAACACTACCAGGTTCTACAAAAAGTGTGTTTCAACACTGCTCTAACAAAAGTAAGGATCAAGACTTTGAGTTAAATGCACACATCACAAAGCAGTTTCTGAGAAAGCTTCTGTCTAGTTTTTATTTGAAGGTACTTCCTTTTCCTTCTTAGACCTCAAATCGCTCCAAATATCCACTTGCAGATACTACAAAAAGACTGTTTCAAAACCGCTCTCTCAAAGGGAAGGTTCAACTCTCTGAGTTGAATGCACATATTACAAAGCAGTTCCTGAGAATGCTTCTGTCTATTTTTTAGGAGAACATATCACTTTTTCCAACATAGGCCACAAAGCATTTGAAATGAACACTTGCAGATTCTACAAAATGTTTGTTTCAACACTGCTGTATCAAAAGAAAGGTTCAACAATGTGAATTGAACACACCCATCACAAAGGAGTTTCTGAGAATGCTTCTGTCTAGTTTTTATGTGAAGATATTTCTTTTTCCAACATAGGCAACAAAGCACTCCAAAGAACACTTGTAGATTATACAAAAAGTGTGTTTCAACACTGCTCTACCTAAAGGAAGTTTCAAGTCTGTGACTTAAATGCACACATCACAAAGCAGTTTCTGAGAATGCTTCTGTCTAGTTTGTATGTGAAGATATTTCATTTTCCACCATACTCCACAAATCGCTCCAAATATCCACTTGCAAATACTACAAAAAGACTGTTTCAAAACTTCTCTCTCAAAAGGAAGGTTCAACTCTGTGAGCTGAATGCACACATCACAAGGCAGTTTCTGAAAATGCTTCCGTCTAGTTTTTTGTTTGAAGGTGTTTCCTTTTCCTTCTTCGGCCTCAAATCACTGCAAATATCCACTTGCAGATACTACAAAAAGACTGTTTCAAAACCGCTCTCTCAAAAGGAAGGTTCAACACTGTGAGTTGAATGCACATGTTACAAAGCAGTTTCTGGAATGCTTCTGTCTATTTTTCAGGTGAAGATATCACTTTTTCCAACATACGCACAAAAGAACTCGAAATGGACACTTGCAGATTCTACAAAAAGTATGTTTGAACACTGCTCCATCAAAAGAAAGGTTCAACGATGTGAATTGAACACACACTTCACAGAGGAGTTTCAGAGAATGCTTCTGTCTAGTTTTTAAGTGAAGATATTCCTTTTTCCCACATAGGCAACAAAGCGCTCCAAATGAATACTTGCGGTTTCTACAAAACGTGTGTTTCAACACTGCTCTATCAAAAGAAAGTTTCAAGTCTGTGAGTTGAACGCACACATCACAAAGAACCTTCTGAGAATGCTTGGGTCTACTTTTTATGTGAAGATACCCGTTTCCAACGAATAACTCAAAGAGTTCCAAATATACACAATCAGATACTACAAAAGGAGTGTTTCATTCCTCCTCTGTCAAAAGACAGTTTCAACTCTGTTAGTTGAATGCACACATCTCAATGAAGTTCCTGAGAAGGCTTCTGCCTAGTTTTTTGTGAAGATAGTCCCTTTTCCACCATGGGCTTCAAAGCGCTCCAAATGAAAACTTGCAGGTCCTACCAAAAGACTGATTCAAAACTGCTCTATCAAAAGAACGGTTCCACTCTGTTAGGTGAATGCACACATCACAAGAAGTTTCTGAGAATGCTTCTGTTTAGTTTGTATGTGAAGATATTTCCTTTTCCATCATACTACACGAATCGCTCCAAATATCCACCTGCAGACGTTACAAAAAGACTGTTTCAAAACTGCTCTCTCAAAAGGAAGGTTCAACTCTGTGAGTTGAGTGCACACATCACAATGGAGTTTCTGAGATATTCTCTGTCTAGTTTGTATGTGAAGGTATTTCCTTTTCCATCTGAGGCCCCAAGTCACCACAAATATCCACTTGCAGATACTACAAAAAGACTGTTTCAAAACCTCCCCTTCAAAAGGAAAGTTCAAATCTGTCGGTTGAATGCACACATCACAAAGCAGTTTCTGAGAATGCTTCTGTCTAGTTTGTATGTGAAGATATTTCCTTTTCCATCATAGGCCTCAAATCGCTCCAAATATCCACTTGCAGATACTACAAAAGACCATTTCAACACTGCTCTCTCAAAAGGAAGGTTCAACTCTGTGGGTTGAATGCACACATCACAAAGCAGTTTCTGAGAATGCTTCTGTCTAGTTTTTATGTGAAGATATTTCCTTTTCATTCACAGGCCTCAAATCGCTCCAAATATCCACTGGCAGATACTCCAAAAAGACTGTTTCAAAACTGCTCTCTCAAAAGGAAGGTTCAACTGTGTGAGTGGAATGCACACATCACAAAGCAGTTTCTGAGAATGCTTCTGTCTAGTTTGTATGTGAAGATATGCCTTTTACAACGTATTCCTCAAGGAGCTCCCAATATCCACAAGCAGATTCTACAGAAGCAGTGTTTCAAACCTGCTCTGTCAAAGAAAGTTTCAACTCTGTGAATTGAACACACACATCACAAAGCAGTTTCTAAGAATGCTTCTGTCTAGTTTTTAAGAGAAGATAATCATTTTTCCACCATAGGCAACAAATCTCTCCAAATGAACACTACCAGGTTCTACAAAAAGTGTGTTTCAACACTGCTCTAACAAAAGTAAGGATCAAGACTTTGAGTTAAATGCACACATCACAAAGCAGTTTCTGAGAAAGCTTCTGTCTAGTTTTTATTTGAAGGTATTTCCTTTTCCTTCTTAGACCTCAAATCGCTCCAAATATCCACTTGCAGATACTACAAAAAGACTGTTTGAAAACCGCTCTCTCAAAAGGAAGGTTCAACACTGTGAGTTGAATGCACATGTTGCAAAGCAGTTTCTGGAATGCTTCTGTCTATTTTTTAGGTGAAGATATCACTTTTTCCAACATAGGCCACAAAGCATTTGAAATGAACACTTGCAGATTCTACAAAATGTTTGTTTCAACACTGCTGTATCAAAAGAAAGGTTCAACAATGTGAATTGAACACACCCATCACAAAGGAGTTTCTGAGAATGCTTCTGTCTAGTTTTTATGTGAAGATATTTCTTTTTCCAACATAGGCAACAAAGCACTCCAAAGAACACTTGTAGATTATACAAAAAGTGTGTTTCAACACTGCTCTACCTAAAGGAAGTTTCAAGTCTGTGACTTAAATGCGCACATCACAAAGCAATTTCTGACAATGCTTCTGTCTAGTTTGTATGTGAAGATATTTCATTTTCCACCATACTCCACAAATCGCTCCAAATATCCACTTGCAAATACTACAAAAAGACTGTTTCAAAACTTCTCTCTCAAAAGGAAGGTTCAACTCTGTGAGTTGAATGCACACATCACAAGGCAGTTTCTGAAAATGATTCCGTCTAGTTTTTTTATTGAAAGTATTTCCTTTTCCTTCTTCGGCCTCAAATCACTGCAAATATCCACTTGCAGATACTACAAAAAGACTGTTTCAAAACCGCTCTCTCAAAAGGAAGGTTCAACACTGTGAGTTGAATGCACATGTTACAAAGCAGTTTCTGGAATGCTTCTGTCTATTTTTCAGGTGAAGATATCACTTTTTCCAACATACGCACAAAAGAACTCGAAATGGACACTTGCAGATTCTACAAAAATATGTTTCAACACTGCTCTATCAAAAGAAAGGTTCAACGATGTGAATTGAACACACACTTCACAGAGGAGTTTCAGAGAATGCTTCTGTCTAGTTTTTAAGTGAAGATATTCCTTTTTCCCACATAGGCAACAAAGCGCTCCAAATGAATACTTGTGGATTCTACAAAAACTGTGTTTCAACACTGCTCTATCAAAAGAAAGTTTCAAGTCTGTGAGTTGAACGCACACATCACAAAGAACCTTCCGAGAATGCTTGGGTCTACTTTTTATGTGAAGATACCCGTTTCCAACGAATAACTCAAAGAGTTCCAAATATACACAATCAGATAATACAAAAGGAGTGTTTCATTCCTCCTCTGTCAAAAGACAGTTTCAACTCTGTTAGTTGAATGCACACATCTCAATGAAGTTCCTGAGAAGGCTTCTGTCTAGTTTTTACTTGAAGATATTTCCTTTTCCCCCACAGTCTTCAAAGTGCTCCAAATGAACACTTGCAGATTCTACAAAAAGACTGTTTCAAAACTGCTCTATGAAAAGAAGGGTTCCACTCTGTGAGGTGAATGCACACATCACAAAGTTGTTTGTGAGAATGCTTCTGTCTAGTTTTTATGTGAAGATATTTCCTTTTCCATCACAGGCCTCAAATCGCTCCAAATATCCACTTGCAAATACTACAAAAATACTGTTTCAAAACTGCTCTCTCAAAAGGATGTTTCAACTCTGTGAGTTGAATGCACACATCACAAAGCAGTTTCTTGGAATGCTTCTGTCTACTTTGTATGTGAAGGTATTTCCTTTTCCACCTGAGGCCCCAAGTCACTACAAATATCCACTTGCAGATACTACAAAAAGACTGTTTCAAAACCTCCCTCTCCAAAGGAAAGTTCAAATCTGTCGGTTGAATGCACACATCACAAAGCAGTTTCTGAGAATGCTTCTGTCTAGTTTGTATGTGAAGATATTTCCTTTTCCATCATAGGCCTCAAATCGCTCCAAATATCCACTTGCAGATACTACAAAAGACCGTTTCAACACTGCTCTCTCAAAAGGAAGGTTCAACTCTGTGGGTTGAATGCACACATCACAAAGCAGTTTCTGAGAATGCTTCTGTCTAGTTTGTATGTGAAGATATTTCCTTTTCCATCATAGGCCTCAAATCGCTCCAAATATCCAATTGAAGATACTACAAAAAGACCGTTTCAACACTGCTCTCTCAAATGGAAGGTTCAACTCTGTGAGTTGAATGCACACATCACAAAGCAGTTTCTGAGAATGCTTCTGTCTAGTTTGTATGTGAAGATATGCCTTTTACAACGTATTCCTCAAGGAGCTCCCAATATCCACAAGCAGATTCTACAGAAGCAGTGTTTCAAACCTGCTATGTCAAAGGAAAGTTTCAACTCTGTGAATTGAACACACACATCACAAAGCAGTTTCTAAGAATGCTTCTGTCTAGTTTTTAAGAGAAGATAATCCTTTTTCCACCATAGGCAAAAAATCTCTCCAAATGAACACTACCAGGTTCTACAAAAAGTGTGTTTCAACACTGCTCTAACAAAAGTAAGGATCAAGACTTTGAGTTAAATGCACACATCACAAAGCAGTTTCTGAGAAAGCTTCTGTCTAGTTTTTATTTGAAGGTACTTCCTTTTCCTTCTTAGACCTCAAATCGCTCCAAATATCCACTTGCAGATACTACAAAAAGACTGTTTCAAAACTGCTCTCTCAAAAGGAAGGTTCAACTCTGTGAGTTGAATGCACATATTACAAAGCAGTTCCTGAGAATGCTTCTGTCTATTTTTTAGGTGAAGATATCACTTTTTCCAACATAGGCCACAAAGCATTTGAAATGAACACTTGCAGATTCTACAAAATGTTTGTTTCAACACTGCTGTATCAAAAGAAAGGTTCAACAATGTGAATTGAACACACCCATCACAAAGGAGTTTCTGAGAATGCTTCTGTCTAGTTTTTATGTGAAGATATTTCTTTTTCCAACATAGGCAACAAAGCACTCCAAAGAACACTTGTAGATTATACAAAAAGTGTGTTTCAACACTGCTCTACCTAAAGGAAGTTTCAAGTCTGTGACTTAAATGCACACATCACAAAGCAGTTTCTGACAATGCTTCTGTCTAGTTTGTATGTGAAGATATTTCATTTTCCACCATACTCCACAAATCGCTCCAAATATCCACTTGCAAATACTACAAAAAGACTGTTTCAAAACTTCTCTCTCAAAAGGAAGGTTCAACTCTGTGAGTTGAATGCACACATCACAAGGCAGTTTCTGAAAATGCTTTCCGTCTAGTTTTTTATTTGAAGGTATTTCCTTTTCCTTCTTCGGCCTCAAATCACTGCAAATATCCACTTGCAGATACTACAAAAAGACTGTTTCAAAACTGCTCTCTCAAAAGGAAGGTTCAACACTGTGAGTTGAATGCACATGTTACAAAGCAGTTTCTGGAATGCTTCTGTCTATTTTTCAGGTGAAGATATCACTTTTTCCAACATACGCACAAAAGAACTCGAAATGGACACTTGCAGATTCTACAAAAAGTATGTTTCAACACTGCTCTATCAAAAGAAAGGTTCAACGATGTGAATTGAACACACACTTCACAGAGGAGTTTCAGAGAATGCTTCTGTCTAGTTTTTAAGTGAAGATATTCCTTTTTCCCACATAGGCAACAAAGCGCTCCAAATGAATACTTGTGGATTCTACAAAAACTGTGTTTCAACACTGCTCTATCAAAAGAAAGTTTCAAGTCTGTGAGTTGAACGCACACATCACAAAGGACCTTCTGAGAATGCTTGGGTCTACTTTTTATGTGAAGATACCCGTTTCCAACGAATAACTCAAAGAGTTCCAAATATACACAATCAGATACTACAAAAGGAGTGTTTCATTCCTGCTCTGTCAAAAGACAGTTTCAACTCTGTTAGTTGAATGCACACATCTCAATGAAGATCCTGAGAAGGCTTCTGCCTAGATTTTTGTGAAGATATTCCCTTTTCCACCATAGGCTTCAAAGCGCTCCAAATGAAAACTTGCAGGACCTACCAAAAGACTGATTCGAAACTGCTCTATCAAAAGAACGGTTCCACTCTGTTAGGTCAACGCACACATCAGAAGACGTTTCTGAGAATGCTTCTGTTTAGTTTGTATGTGAATATATTTCCTTTTCCATCATACTACACGAATCGCTCCAAATATCCACCTGCAGACGTTACAAAAAGACTGTTTCAAAACTGCTCTCTCAAAAGGAAGGTTCAACTCTGTGAGTTGAGTGCACACATCACAATGGAGTTTCTGAGAATACTTCTGTCTAGTTTGCATGTGAAGGTATTTCCTTTTCCATCTGAGGCCCCAAGTCACTACAAATATCCACTTGCAGATACTACGAAAAGACTGTTTCAAAACCTCCCTCTCAAAAGGAAAGTTCAAATCTGTCGGTTGAATGCACACATCACAAAGCAGTTTCTGAGAATGCTTCTGTCTAGTTTGTATGTGAAGATATTTCCTTTTCCATCATAGGCCTCAAATCGCTCCAAATATCCACTTGCAGATACTACAAAAGACCGTTTCAACACTGCTCTCTCAAAAGGAAGGTTCAACTCTGTGGGTTGAATGCACACATCATGAAGCAGTTTCTGAGAATGCTTCTGTCTGGTTTGTATGTGAAGATATTTCCTTTTCCATCATAGGCCTCAAATCGCTCCAAATATCCACTTGCAGATACTACAAAAAGACTGTTTCAACACTGCTCTCTCAAATGGAAGGTTCAACTCTGTGAGTTGAATGCTCACATCACAAAGCAGTTTCTGAGAATGCTTCTGTCTAGTTTGTATGTGAAGATATGCCTTTTACAACGTATTCCTCAAGGAGCTCCCAATATCCACAAGCAGATTCTACAGAAGCAGTGTTTCAAACCTGCTCTGTCAAAGGAAAGTTTCAACTCTGTGAATTGAACACACACATCACAAAGCAGTTTCTAAGAATGCTTCTGTCTAGTTTTTAAGAGAAGATAATCCTTTTTCCACCATAGGCAACAAATCTCTCCAAATGAACACTACCAGGTTCTACAAAAAGTGTGTTTCAACACTGCTCTAACAAAAGTAAGGATCAAGACTTTGAGTTAAATGCACACATCACAAAGCAGTTTCTGAGAAAGCTTCTGTCTAGTTTTTATTTGAAGGTACTTCCTTTTCCTTCTTAGACCTCAAATCGCTCCAAATATCCACTTGCAGATACTACAAAAAGACTGTTTCAAAACCGCTCTCTCAAAAGGAAGGTTCAACTCTGTGAGTTGAATGCACATATTACAAAGCAGTTCCTGAGAATGCTTCTGTCTATTTTTTAGGTGAAGGATATCACTTTTTCCAACAGAGGCCACAAAGCATTTGAAATGAACCCTTGCAGATTCTACAAAATGTTTGTTTCAACACTGCTGTATCAAAAGAAAGGTTCAACAATGTGAATTGAACAAACCCATCACAAAGGAGTTTCTGAGAATGCTTCTGTCTAGTTTTTATGTGAAGATATTTCTTTTTCCAACATAGGCAACAAAGCACTCCAAAGAACACTTGTAGATTATACAAAAAGTGTGTTTCAACACTGCTCTACCTAAAGGAAGTTTCAAGTCTGTGACTTAAATGCGCACATCACAAAGCAATTTCTGACAATGCTTCTGTCTAGTTTGTATGTGAAGATATTTCATTTTCCACCATACTCCACAAATCGCTCCAAATATCCACTTGCAAATACTACAAAAAGACTGTTTCAAAACTTCTCTCTCAAAAGGAAGGTTCAACTCTGTGAGTTGAATGCACACATCACAAGGCAGTTTCTGAAAATGATTCCGTCTAGTTTTTTATTTGAAGGTATTTCCTTTTCCTTCTTCGGCCTCAAATCACTGCAAATATCCACTTGCAGATACTACAAAAAGACTGTTTCAAAACCGCTCTCTCAAAAGGAACGTTCAACACTGTGAGTTGAATGCACATGTTACAAAGCAGTTTCTGGAATGCTTCTGTCTATTTTTCAGGTGAAGATATCACTTTTTCCAACATACGCACAAAAGAACTCGAAATGGACACTTGCAGATTCTACAAAAAGTATGTTTCAACACTGCTCCATCAAAAGAAAGTTTCAACGATGTGAATTGGACACACACTTCACAGAGGAGTTTCAGAGAATGCTTCTGTCTAGTTTTTAAGTGAAGATATTCCTTTTTCCCACATAGGCAAGAAAGCGCTCCAAATGAATACTTGTGGATTCTACAAAAACTGTGTTTCAACACTGCTCTATCAAAAGAAAGTTTGAAGTCTGTGAGTTGAACGCACACATCACAAAGGACCTTCTGAGAATGCTTGGGTCTACTTTTTATGTGAAGAAACACGTTCCCAACGAATAACTCAAAGAGTTCCAAATATACACAATCAGATACTACAAAAGGAGTGTTTCATTCCTGCTCTGTCAAAAGACAGTTTCAACTCTGTTACTTGAATGCACACATCTCAATGAAGATCCTGAGAAGGCTTCTGCCTAGTTTTTTGTGAAGATAGTCCCTTTTCCACCATGGGCTTCAAAGCGCTCCAAATGAAAACTTGCAGGTCCTACCAAAAGACTGATTCAAAACTGCTCTATCAAAAGAACGGTTCCACTCTGTTAGGTGAATGCACACATCACAAGAAGTTTCTGAGAATGCTTCTGTTTAGTTTGTATGTGAAGATATTTCCTTTTCCATCATACTACACGAATCGCTCCAAATATCCACCTGCAGACGTTACAAAAAGACTGTTTCAAAACTGCTCTCTCAAAAGGAAGGTTCAACTCTGTGAGTTGAGTGCACACATCACAATGGAGTTTCTGAGAATACTTCTGTCTACTTTGTATGTGAAGGTATTTCCTTTTCCATCTGAGGCCCCAAGTCACTACAAATATCCACTTGCAGATACTACAAAAAGACTGTTTCAAAACCTCCCTCTCAAAAGGAAAGTTCAAATCTGTGAGTTGAATGCACACATCACAAAGCAGTTCCTGAGACTGCTTCTGTCTAGTTTGTATGTGAAGATATTTCCTTTTCCATCATAGGCCTCAAATCGCTCCAAATATCCACTTGCAGATGCTACAAAAGACCGTTTCAACACTGCTCTCTCAAAAGGAAGGTTCAACTCTGTGGGTTGAATGCCCACATCACAAAGCAGTTTCTAAGAATGTTTCTGTCTAGTTTGTATGTGAAGATATTTCCTTTTCCATCATAGGCCTCAAATCGCTCCAAATATCCACTTGAAGATACTACAAAAAGACCGTTTCAACACTGCTCTCTCAAATGGAAGGTTCAACTCTGTGAGTTGAATGCACACATCACAAAGCAGTTTCTGAGAATGCTTCTGTCTAGTTTGTATGTGAAGATATGTCTTTTACAACGTATTCCTGAAGGAGCTCCCAATATCCACAAGCAGATTCTACAAAAGCAGTGTTTCAAACCTGCTCTATCAAAGGAAAGTTTCAACTCTGTGAATTGAACACACACATCACAAAGCAGTTTCTAAGAATGCTTCTGTCTAGTTTTTAAGAGAAGATAATCCTTTTTCCACCATAGGCAACAAATCTCTCCAAATGAACACTACCAGGTTCTACAAAAAGTGTGTTTCAACACTGCTCTAACAAAAGTAAGGATCAAGACTTTGAGTTAAATGCACACATCACAAAGCAGTTTCTGAGAAAGCTTCTGTCTAGTTTTTATTTGAAGGTACTTCCTTTTCCTTCTTAGACCTCAAATCGCTCCAAATATCCACTTGCAGATACTACAAAAAGACTGTTTCAAAACCGCTCTCTCAAAAGGAAGGTTCAACTCTGTGAGTTGAATGCACATATTACAAAGCAGTTCCTGAGAATGCTTCTGTCTATTTTTTAGGTGAAGATATCACTTTTTCCAACATAGGAGGTAAAGCATTTGAAATGAACCCTTGCAGATTCTACAAAATGTTTGTTTCAACACTGCTGTATCAAAAGAAAGGTTCAACAATGTGAATTGAACAAACCCATCACAAAGGAGTTTCTGAGAATGCTTCTGTCTAGTTTTTATGTGAAGATATTTCTTTTTCCAACATAGGCAACAAAGCACTCCAAAGAACACTTGTAGATTATACAAAAAGTGTGTTTCAACACTGCTCTACCTAAAGGAAGTTTCAAGTCTGTGACTTAAATGCACACATCACAAAGCAGTTTCTGAGAATGCTTCTGTCTAGTTTGTATGTGAAGATATTTCATTTTCCACCATACTCCACAAATCGCTCCAAATATCCACTTGCAAATACTACAAAAAGACTGTTTCAAAACTTCTCTCTCAAAAGGAAGGTTCAACTCTGTGAGTTGAATGCACACATCACAAGGCAGTTTCTGAAAATGCTTCCGTCTAGTTTTTTATTTGAAGGTATTTCCTTTTCCTTCTTCGGCCTCAAATCACTGCAAATATCCACTTGCAGATACTACAAAAAGACTGTTTCAAAACCGCTCTCTCAAAAGGAACGTTCAACACTGTGAGTTGAATGCAGATGTTACAAAGCAGTTTCTGGAATGCTTTCTGTCTATTTTTCAGGTGAAGATATCACTTTTTCCAACATACGCACAAAAGAACTTGAAATGGACACTTGCAGATTCTACAAAAAGTATGTTTCAACACTGCTCTATCAAAAGAAAGGTTCAACGATGTGAATTGAACACACACTACACAGAGGAGTTTCAGAGAATGCTTCTGTCTAGTTTTTAAGTGAAGATATTCCTTTTTCCCACATAGGCAACAAAGCGCTCCAAACGAATACTTGTGGATTCTACAAAAAGTGTGTTTCAACACTGCTCTATCAAAAGAAAGTTTCAAGTCTGTGTGTTGAACGCACACATCACAAAGAACCTTCTGAGAATGCTTGGGTCTACTTTTTATGTGAAGATACCCGTTTCCAACGAATAACTCAAAGAGTTCCAAATACACACAATCAGATACTACAAAAGGAGTGTTTCATTCCTCCTCTGTCAAAAGACAGTTTCAACTCTGTTAGTTGAATGCACACATCTCAATGAAGTTCCTGAGAAGGCTTCTGCCTAGTTTTCTGTGAAGATAGTCCCTTTTCCACCATGGGCTTCAAAGCGCTCCAAATGAAAACTTGCAGGTCCTACCAAAAGACTGATTCAAAACTGCTCTATCAAAAGAACGGTTCCACTCTGTTAGGTGAACGCACACATCACAAGAATTTTCTGAGAATGCTTCTGTTTAGTTTGTATGTGAAGATATTTCCTTTTCCATCATACTACACGAATCGCTCCAAATATCCACCTGCAGACGTTACAAAAAGACTGTTTCAAAACTGCTCTCTCAAAAGGAAGGTTCAACTCTGTGAGTTGAGTGCACACATCACAATGGAGTTTCTGAGAATACTTCTGTCTACTTTGTATGTGAAGGTATTTCCTTTTCCACCTGAGGCCCCAAGTCACTACAAATATCCACTTGCAGATACTACAAAAAGACTGTTTCAAAACCTCCCTCTCCAAAGGAAAGTTCAAATCTGTCGGTTGAATGCACACATCACAAAGCAGTATCTGAGAATGCTTCTGTCTAGTTTGTATGTGAAGATATTTCCTTTTCCATCCTAGGCCTCAAATCGCTCCAAATATCCACTTGCAGATACTACAAAAGACCGTTTCAACACTGCTCTCTCAAAAGGAAGGTTCAACTCTGTGGGTTGAATGCACACATCACAAAGCAGTTTCTGAGAATGCTTCTGTCTAGTTTGTATGTGAAGATATGCCTTTTACAACGTATTCCTCAAGGAGCTCCCAATATCCACAAGCAGATTCTACAGAAGCAGTGTTTCAAACCTGCTCTGTCAAAGGAAAGTTTCAACTCTGTGAATTGAATGCACACATCACAAAGCAGTTTCTAAGAATGCTTCTGTCTAGTTTTTAAGAGAAGATAATCCTTTTTCCACCATAGGCAACAAATCTCTCCAAATGAACACTACCAGGTTCTACAAAAAGTGTGTTTCAACACTGCTCTAACAAAAGTAAGGATCAAGACTTTGAGTTAAATGCACACATCACAAAGCAGTTTGCTGAGAAAGCTTATCTGTCTAGTTTTTATTTGAAGGTATTTCCTTTTCCTTCTTAGACCTCAAATCGCTCCAAATATCCTCTTGCAGATACTACAAAAAGACTCTTTCAAAACCGCTCTCTCAAAAGGAAGGTTCAACTCTGTGAGTTGAATGCACATATTACAAAGCAGTTCCTGAGAATGCTTCTGTCTATTTTTTAGGTGAAGATATCACTTTTTCCAACAGAGGCCACAAAGCATTTGAAATGAACCCTTGCAGATTCTACAAAATGTTTGTTTCAACACTGCTGTATCAAAAGAAAGGTTCAACAATGTGAATTGAACAAACCCATCACAAAGGAGTTTCTGAGAATGCTTCTGTCTAGTTTTTATGTGAAGATATTTCTTTTTCCAACATAGGCAACAAAGCACTCCAAAGAACACTTGTAGATTATACAAAAAGTGTGTTTCAACACTGCTCTACCTAAAGGAAGTTTCAAGTCTGTGACTTAAATGCACACATCACAAAGCAGTTTCTGAGAATGCTTCTGTTTAGTTTGTATGTGAAGATATTTCATTTTCCACCATACTCCACAAATCGCTCCAAATATCCACTTGCAAATACTACAAAAAGACTGTTTCAAAACTTCTCTCTCAAAAGGAAGGTTCAACTCTGTGAGTTGAATGCACACATCACAAGGCAGTTTCTGAAAATGCTTCCGTCTAGTTTTTTATTTGAAGGTGTTTCCTTTTCCTTCTTCGGCCTCAAATCACTGCAAATATCCACTTGCAGATACTACAAAAAGACTGTTTCAAAACCGCTCTCTCAAAAGGAAGGTTCAACACTGTGAGTTGAATGCACATGTTACAAAGCAGTTTCTGGAATGCTTCTGTCTATTTTTCAGGTGAAGATATCACTTTTTCCAACATACGCACAAAAGAACTCGAAATGGACACTTGCAGATTCTACAAAAAGTATGTTTCAACACTGCTCTATCAAAAGAAAGGTTCAACGATGTGAATTGAACACACACTTCACAGAGGAGTTTCAGAGAATGCTTCTGTCTAGTTTTGAAGTGAAGATATTCCTTTTTCCCACATAGGCAACAAAGCGCTCCAAACGAATACTTGTGGATTCTACAAAAAGTGTGTTTCAACACTGCTCTATCAAAAGAAAGTTTCAAGTCTGTGAGTTGAACGCACACATCACAAAGAACCTTCTGAGAATGCTTGGGTCTACTTTTTATGTGAAGATACCCGTTTCCAACGAATAACTCAAAGAGTTCCAAATACACACAATCAGATACTACAAAAGGAGTGTTTCATTCCTCCTCTGTCAAAAGACAGTTTCAACTCTGTTAGTTGAATGCACACATCTCAATGAAGTTCCTGAGAAGGCTTCTGCCTAGTTTTTGTGAAGATAGTCCCTTTTCCACCATGGGCTTCAAAGCGCTCCAAATGAAAACTTGCAGGTCCTACCAAAAGACTGATTCAAAACGGCTCTATCAAAAGAACGGTTCCACTCTGTTAGGTGAACGCACACATCACAAGAAGTTTCTGAGAATGCTTCTGTTTAGTTTGTATGTGAAGATATTTCCTTTTCCATCATAGTGCTCGAATCGCTCCAAATATCCACTTGCAGACGTTACAAAAAGACTGTTTCACAACTGCTCTCTCAAAAGGAAGGTTCAACTCTGTGAGTTCAGTGCGCACATCACAATGGAGTTTCTGAGAATACTTCTGGTCTACTTTGTATGTGAAGGTATTTCCTTTTCCACCTGAGGCCCCAAGTCACTACAAATATCCACTTGCAGATACTACAAAAAGACTGTTTCAAAACCTCCCTCTCCAAAGGAAAGTTCAAATCTGTCGGTTGAATGCACACATCACAAAGCAGTTTCTGAGAATGCTTCTGTCTAGTTTGTATGTGAAGATATTTCCTTTTCCATCATAGGCCTCAAATCGCTCCAAATATCCACTTGCAGATACTACAAAAGACCGTTTCAACACTGCTCTCTCAAAAGGAAGGTTCAACTCTGTGGGTTGAATGCACACATCACAAAGCAGTTTCTGAGAATGCTTCTGTCTAATTTGTATGTGAAGATATTTCCTTTTCCATCATAGGCCTCAAATCGCTCCAAATATCCACTTGAAGATACTACAAAAAGACTGTTTCAACACTCCTCTCTCAAATGGAAGGTTCAACTCTGTGAGTTGAATGCACACATCACAAAGCAGTTTCTGAGAATGCTTCTGTTTAGTTTGTATGTGAGGATATGCCTTTTACAATGTATTCCTCAAGGAGCTCCCAATATCCACAAGCAGATTCTACAGAAGCAGTGTTTCAAACCTGCTCTGTCAAAGGAAAGTTTCAACTCTGTGAATTGAACACACACATCACAAAGCAGTTTCTAAGAATGCTTCTGTCTAGTTTTTAAGAGAAGATAATCCTTTTTCCACCATAGGCAACAAATCTCTCCAAATGAACACTACCAGGTTCTACAAAAAGTGTGTTTCAACACTGCTCTAACAAAAGTAAGGATCAAGACTTTGAGTTAAATGCACACATCACAAAGCAGTTTCTGAGAAAGCTTCTGTCTAGTTTTTATTTGAAGGTACTTCCTTTTCCTTATTAAACCTCAAATCGCTCCAAATATCCACTTGCAGATACTACAAAAAGATTGTTTCAAAACCGCTCTCTCAAAAGGAAGGTTCAACTCTGTGAGTTGAATGCACATATTACAAAGCAGTTCCTGAGAATGCTTCTGTCTATTTTTTAGGTGAAGATATCACTTTTTCCCAACATAGGCCACAAAGCATTTGAAATGAACACTTGCAGATTCTACAAAATGTTTGTTTCAACACTGCTGTATCAAAAGAAAGGTTCAACAATGTGAATTGAACACACCCATCACAAAGGAGTTTCTGAGAATGCTTCTGTCTAGTTTTTATGTGAAGATATTTCTTTTTCCAACATAGGCAACAAAGCACTCCAAAGAACACTTGTAGATTATACAAAAAGTGTGTTTCAACACTGCTCTACCTAAAGGAAGTTTCAAGTCTGTGACTTAAATGCACACATCACAAAGCAGTTTCTGAGAATGCTTCTGTCTATTTTGTATGTGAAGATATTTCATTTTCCACCATACTCCACAAATCGCTCCAAATATCCACTTGCAAATACTACAAAAAGACTGTTTCAAAACTTCTCTCTCAAAAGGAAGGTTCAACTCTGTGAGTTGAATGCACACATCACAAGGCAGTTTCCAAAAATGCTTCCGTCTAGTTTTTTATTTGAAGGTATTTCCTTTTCCTTCTTCGGCCTCAAATCACTGCAAATATCCACTTGCAGATACTACAAAAAGACTGTTTCAAAACCGCTCTCTCAAAAGGAAGGTTCAACACTGTGAGTTGAATGCACATGTTACAAAGCAGTTTCTGGAATGCTTCTGTCTATTTTTCAGGTGAAGATATCACTTTTTCCAGCATACGCACAAAAGAACTCGAAATGGACACTTGCAGATTCTACAAAAAGTATGTTTCAACACTGCTCTATCAAAAGAAAGGTTCAACGATGTGAATTGAACACACACTTCACAGAGGAGTTTCAGAGAATGCTTCTGTCTAGTTTTTAAGTGAAGATATTCCTTTTTCCCACATAGGCAACAAAGCGCTCCAAATGAATACTTGTGGATTCTACAAAAAGTGTGTTTCAACACTGCTCTATCAAAAGAAAGTTTCAAGTCTGTGAGTTGAACGCACACATCACAAAGAACCTTCTGAGAATGCTTGGGTCTACTTTTTATGTGAAGATACCCGTTTCCAACGAATAACTCAAAGAGTTCCAAATATACACAATCAGATACTACAAAAGGAGTGTTTCATTCCTGCTCTGTCAAAAGACAGTTTCAACTCTGTTAGTTGAATGCACACATCTCAATGAAGTTCCTGAGAAGGCTTCTGCCTAGTTTTTTGTGAAGATATTCCCTTTTCCACCATGGGCTTCAAAGCGCTCCAAATGAAAACTTGCAGGTCCTACCAAAAGACTGATTCAAAACTGCTCTATCAAAAGAACGGTTCCACTCTGTTAGGTGAACGCACACATCACAAGAAGTTTCTGAGAATGCTTCTGTTTAGTTTGTATGTGAAGATATTTCCTTTTCCATCATACTACACGAATGGCTCCAAATATCCACCTGCAGACGTTACAAAAAGACTGTTTCAAAACTGCTCTCTCAAAAGGAAGGTTCAACTCTGTGAGTTGAGTGCACACATCACAATGGAGTTTCTGAGAATACTTCTGTCTACTTTGTATGTGAAGGTATTTCCTTTTCCATCTGAGGCCCCAAGTCACTACAAATATCCACTTGCAGATACTACAAAAAGACTGTTTCAAAACCTCCCTCTCAAAAGGAAAGTTCAAATCTGTGAGTTGAATGCACACATCACAAAGCAGTTCCTGAGACTGCTTCTGTCTAGTTTGTATGTGAAGATATTTCCTTTTCCATCATAGGCCTCAAATCGCTCCAAATATCCACTTGCAGATACTACAAAAGACCGTTTCAACACTGCTCTCTCAAAAAGAAGGTTCAACTCTGTGGGTTGAATGCACACATCACGAAGCAGTTTCTGAGAATGCTTCTGTCTAGTTTGTATGTGAAGATGTTTCCTTTTCCATCATAGGCCTCAAATCGCTCCAAATATCCACTTGCAGATACTACAAAAAGACTGTTTCAACACTGCTCTCTCAAATGGAAGGTTCAACTCTGTGAGTTGAATGCACACATCACAAAGCAGTTTCTGAGAATGATTCTGTTTAGTTTGTATGTGAGGATATGCCTTTTACAATGTATTCCTCAAGGAGCTCCCAATATCCACAAGCAGATTCTACAGAAGCAGTGTTTCAAACCTGCTCTGTCAAAGGAAAGTTTCAACTCTGTGAATTGAACACACACATCACAAAGCAGTTTCTAAGAATGCTTCTGTCTAGTTTTTAAGAGAAGATAATCATTTTTCCACCATAGGCAACAAATCTCTCCAAATGAACACTACCAGGTTCTACAAAAAGTGTGTTTCAACACTGCTCTAACAAAAGTAAGGATCAAGACTTTGAGTTAAATGCACACATCACAAAGCAGTTTCTGAGAAAGCTTCTGTCTAGTTTTTATTTGAAGGTACTTCCTTTTCCTTCTTAGACCTCAAATCGCTCCAAATATCCACTTGCAGATACTACAAAAAGACTGTTTCAAAACCGCCTTCTCAAAAGGAAGGTTCAACTCTGTGAGTTGAATGCACATATTACAAAGCAGTTCCTGAGAATGCTTCTGTCTATTTTTTAGGTGAACATATCACTTTTTCCAACATAGGCCACAAAGCATTTGAAATGAACACTTGCAGATTCTACAAAATGTTTGTTTCAACCCTGCTGTATCAAAAGAAAGGTTCAACAATGTGAATTGAACAAACCCATCACAAAGGAGTTTCTGAGAATGCTTCTGTCTAGTTTTTATGTGAAGATATTTCTTTTTCCAACATAGGCAACAAAGCACTCCAAAGAACACTTGTAGATTATACAAAAAGTGTGTTTCAACACTGCTCTACCTAAAGGAAGTTTCAAGTCTGTGACTTAAATGCACACATCACAAAGCAGTTTCTGAGAATGCTTCTGTCTAGTTTGTATGTGAAGATATTTCATTTTCCACCATACTCCACAAATCGCTCCAAATATCCACTTGCAAATACTACAAAAAGAATGTTTCAAAACTTCTCTCTCAAAAGGAAGGTTCAACTCTGTGAGTTGAATGCACACATCACAAGGCAGTTTCTGAAAATGCTTCCGTCTAGTTTTTTATTTGAAGGTATTTCCTTTTCCTTCTTCGGCCTCAAATCACTGCAAATATCCACTTGCAGATACTACAAAAAGACTGTTTCAAAACCGCTCTCTCAAAAGGAAGGTTCAACACTGTGAGTTGAATGCACATGTTACAAAGCAGTTTCTGGAATGCTTCTGTCTATTTTTCAGGTGAAGATATCACTTTTTCCAACATACGCACAAAAGAACTCGAAATGGACACTTGCAGATTCTACAAAAAGTATGTTTCAACACTGCTCTATCAAAAGAAAGGTTCAACGATGTGAATTGAACACACACTTCACAGAGGAGTTTCAGAGAATGCTTCTGTCTAGTTTTTAAGTGAAGATATTCCTTTTTCCCACATAGGCAACAAAGCGCTCCAAACGAATACTTGTGGATTCTACAAAAAGTGTGTTTCAACACTGCTCTATCAAAAGAAAGTTTCAAGTCTGTGAGTTGAACGCCCACATCACAAAGAACCTTTTGAGAATGCTTGGGTCTACTTTTTATGTGAAGATACCTGTTTCCAACGAATAACTCAAAGAGTTCCAAATATACACAATCAGATACTACAAAAGGAGTGTTTCATTCCTCCTCTGTCAAAAGACAGTTTCAACTCTGTTAGTTGAATGCACACATCCACATCTCAATGAAGTTCCTGAGAAGGCTTCTGCCTAGTTTTTTTTAAAGATAGTCCCTTTTCCACCATGGGCTTCAAAGCGCTCCAAATGAAAACTTGCAGGTCCTACCAAAAGACTGATTCAAAACTGCTCTATCAAAAGAACGGTTCCACTCTGTTAGGTGAATGCACACATCACAAGAAGTTTCTGAGAATGCTTCTGTTTAGTTTGTATGTGAAGATATTTCCTTTTCCATCATACTACACGAATCGCTCCAAATATCCACCTGCAGACGTTACAAAAAGACTGTTTCAAAACTGCTCTCTCAAAAGGAAGGTTCAACTCTGTGAGTTGAGTGCACACATCACAATGGAGTTTCTGAGAATACTTCTGTCTACTTTGTATGTGAAGGTATTTCCTTTTCCACCTGAGGCCCCAAGTCACTACAAATATCCACTTGCAGATACTACAAAAAGACTGTTTCAAAACCTCCCTCTGCAAAGGAAAGTTCAAATCTGTCGGTTGAATGCACACATCACAAAGCAGTTTCTGAGAATGCTTCTGTCTAGTTGGTATGTGAAGATATGCCTTTTACAACGTATTCCTCAAGGAGCTCCCAATATCCACAAGCAGATTCTACAAAAGCAGTGTTTCAAACCTGCTCTGTCAAAGGAAAGTTTCAACTCTGTGAATTGAACACACACATCACAAAGCAGTTTCTAAGAATGCTTCTGTCTAGTTTGTATGTGAAGATATTTCCTTTTCCATCATAGGCCTCAAATCGCTCCAAATATCCAATTGAAGATACTACAAAAAGATCGTTTCAACACTGCTCTCTCAAATGGAAGGTTCAACTCTGTGAGTTGAATGCACACATCACAAAGCAGTTTCTCAGAATGCTTCTGTCTAGTTTGTATGTGAAGATATGCCTTTTACAACGTATTCCTCAAAGAGCTCCCAATATCCACAAGCAGATTCTACAAAAGTAGTGTTTCAAAACTGCTCTATCAAAGGAAAGTTTCAACTCTGTGAATTGAACACACACATCACAAAGCAGTTTCTAAGAATGCTTCTGTCTAGTTTTTAAGAGAAGATAATCCTTTTTCCACCATAGGCAACAAATCTCTCCAAATGAACACTACCAGGTTCTACAAAAAGTGTGTTTCAACACTGCTCTAACAAAAGTAAGGATCAAGACTTTGAGTTAAATGCACACATCACAAAGCAGTTTCTGAGAAAGCTTCTGTCTAGTTTTTATTTGAAGGTACTTCCTTTTCCTTCTTAGACCTCAAATCGCTCCAAATATCCACTTGCAGATACTACAAAAAGACTGTTTCAAAACCGCTCTCTCAAAAGGAAGGTTCAACTCTGTGAGTTGAATGCACATATTACAAAGCAGTTCCTGAGAATGTTTCTGTCTATTTTTTAGGTGAAGATATCACTTTTTCCAACATAGGCCACAAAGCATTTGAAATGAACACTTGCAGATTCTACAAAATGTTTGTTTCAACACTGCTGTATCAAAAGAAAGGTTCAACAATGTGAATTGAACACACCCATCACAAAGGAGTTTCTGAGAATGCTTCTGTCTAGTTTTTATGTGAAGATATTTCTTTTTCCAACATAGGCAACAAAGCACTCCAAAGAACACTTGTAGATTATACAAAAAGTGTGTTTCAACACTGCTCTACCTAAAGGAAGTTTCAAGTCTGTGACTTAAATGCGCACATCACAAAGCAATTTCTGACAATGCTTCTGTCTAGTTTGTATGTGAAGATATTTCATTTTCCACCATACTCCACAAATCGCTCCAAATATCCACTTGCAAATACTACAAAAAGACTGTTTCAAAACTTCTCTCTCAAAAGGAAGGTTCAACTCTGTGAGTTGAATGCACACATCACAAGGCAGTTTCTGAAAATGCTTCCGTCTAGTTTTTTATTTGAAGGTATTTCCTTTTCCTTCTTCGGCCTCAAATCACTGCAAATATCCACTTGCAGATACTACAAAAAGACTGTTTCAAAACCGCTCTCTCAAAAGGAAGGTTCAACACTGTGAGTTGAATGCACATGTTACAAAGCAGTTTCTGGAATGCTTCCGTCTATTTTTCAGGTGAAGATATGACTTTTTCCAACATACGCACAAAAGAACTCGAAATGGACACTTGCAGATTCTACAAAAAGTATGTTTCAACACTGCTCTATCAAAAGAAAGGTTCAACGATGTGAAATGAACACACACTTCACAGAGGAGTTTCAGAGAATGCTTCTGTCTAGTTTTTAAGTGAAGATATTCCTTTTTCCCACATAGGCAACAAAGCGCTCCAAATGAATACTTGTGGATTCTACAAAAACTGTGTTTCAACACTGCTCTATCAAAAGAAAGTTTCAAGTCTGTGAGTTGAACGCACACATCACAAAGGACCTTCTGAGAATGCTTGGGTCTACTTTTTATGTTAAGATACCTGTTTCCAACGAATAACTCAAAGAGTTCCAAATATACACAATCAGATACTACAAAAGGAGTGTTTCATTCCTCCTCTGTCAAAAGACAGTTTCAACTCTGTTAGTTGAATGCACACATCTCAATGAAGTTCCTGAGAAGGCTTCTGCCTTGTTTTTTGTGAAGATGATAGTCCCTTTTCCACCATGGGCTTCAAAGCGCTCCAAATGAAAACTTGCAGGTCCTACCAAAAGACTGATTCAAAACTGCTCTATCAAAAGAACGGTTCCACTCTGTTAGGTGAATGCACACATCACAAGAAGTTTCTGAGAATGCTTCTGTTTAGTTTGTATGTGAAGATATTTCCTTTTCCATCATACTACTCGAATCGCTCCAAATATCCACCTGCAGACGTTACAAAAAGACTGTTTCAAAACTGCTCTCTCAAAAGGAAGGTTCAACTCTGTGAGTTGAGTGCACACATCACAATGGAGTTTCTGAGAATACTTCTGTCTACTTTGTATGTGAAGGTATTTCCTTTTCCACCTGAGGCCCCAAGTCACTACAAAAATCCACTTGCAGATACTACAAAAAGACTGTTTCAAAACCTCCCTCTCCAAAGGAAAGTTCAAATCTGTCGGTTGAATGCACACATCACAAAGCAGTTTCTGAGAATGCTTCTGTCTAGTTTGTATGTGAAGATATTTCCTTTTCCATCATAGGCCTCAAATCGCTCCAAATATCCACTTGCAGATACTACAAAAGACCGTTTCAACACTGCTCTCTCAAAAAGAAGGTTCAACTCTGTGGGTTGAATGCACACATCACGAAGCAGTTTCTGAGAATGCTTCTGTCTAGTTTGTATGTGAAGATATTTCCTTTTCCATCATAGGCCTCAAATCGCTCCAAATATCCACTTGAAGATACTACAAAAAGACTGTTTCAACACTGCTCTCTCAAATGGAAGGTTCAACACTGTGAGTTGAATGCACACATCACAAAGCAGTTTCTGAGAATGCTTCTGTCTAGTTTGTATGTGAAGATAAGTCTTTTACAACGTATTCCTGAAGGAGCTCCCAATATCCACAAGCAGATTCTACAAAAGCAGTGTTTCAAACCTGCTCTATCAAAGGAAAGTTTCAACTCTGTGAATTGAACACACACATCACAAAGCAGTTTCTAAGAATGCTTCTGTCTAGTTTTTAAGAGAAGATAATCCTTTTTCCACCATAGGCAACAAATCTCTCCAAATGAACACTACCAGGTACTACAAAAAGTGTGTTTCAACACTGCTCTACCTAAAGGAAGTTTCAAGTCTGTGACTTAAAAGCACACATCACAAAGCAGTTTCTGAGAATGCTTCTGTCTAGTTTTTATTTGAAGGTACTTCCTTTTCCTTCTTAGACCTCAAATCGCTCCAAATATCGACTTGCAGATACTACAAAAAGACTGTTTCAAAACCGCTCTCTCAAAAGGAAGGTTCAACTCTGTGAGTTGAATGCACATATTACAAAGCAGTTCCTGAGAATGCTTCTGTCTATTTTTTAGGTGAAGATATCACTTTTTCCAACATAGGCCACAAAGCATTTGAAATGAACACTTGCAGATTCTACAAAATGTTTGTTTCAACACTGCTGTATCAAAAGAAAGGTTCAACAATGTGAATTGAACAAACCCCTCACAAAGGAGTTTCTGAGAATGCTTCTGTCTAGTTTTTATGTGAAGATATTTCTTTTTCCAACATAGGCAACAAAGCACTCCAAAGAACACTTGTAGATTATACAAAAAGTGTGTTTCAACACTGCTCTACCTAAAGGAAGTTTCAAGTCTGTGACTTAAATGCACACATCACAAAGCAGTTTCTGAGAATGCTTCTGTCTAGTTTGTATGTGAAGATATTTCATTTTCCACCATACTCCACAAATCGCTCCAAATATCCACTTGCAAATACCACAAAAAGACTGTTTCAAAACTTCTCTCTCAAAAGGAAGGTTCAACTCTGTGAGTTGAATGCACACATCACAAGGCAGTTTCTGAAAATGCTTCCGTCTAGTTTTTTATTTGAGGTATTTCCTTTTCCTTCTTCGGCCTCAAATCACTGCAAATATCCACTTGCAGATACTACAAAAAGACTGTTTCAAAACCGCTCTCTCAAAAGGAAGGTTCAACACTGTGAGTTGAATGCACATGTTACAAAGCAGTTTCTGGAATGCTTCTGTCTATTTTTCAGGTGAAGAAATCACTTTTTCCAACATACGCACAAAAGAACTCAAAATGGGCACTTGCAGATTCTACAAAAAGTATGTTTCAACACTGCTCCATCAAAAGAAAGGTTCAACGATGTGAATTGAACACACACTTCACAGAGGAGTTTCAGAGAATGCTTCTGTCTAGTTTTTCAGTGAAGATATTACTTTTTCCCACATAGGCAACAAAGCGCTCCAAACGAATACTTGTGGATTCTACAAAAAGTGTGTTTCAACACTGCTCTATCAAAAGAAAGTTTCAAGTCTGTGAGTTGAACGCACACATCACAAAGAACCTTCTGAGAATGCTTGGGTCTACATTTTAGGTGAAGATACCCGTTTCCAACGAATAACTCAAAGAGTTCCAAATATACACAATCAGATACTACAAAAGGAGTGTTTCATTCCTCCTCTGTCAAAAGACAGTTTCAACTCTGTTAGTTGAATGCACACTTCTCAATGAAGTTCCTGAGAAGGCTTCTGCCTAGTTTTTTGTGAAGATAGTCCCTTTTCCACCATGGGCTTCAAAGCGCTCCAAATGAAAACTTGCAGGTCCTACCAAAAGACTGATTCAAAACTGCTCTATCAAAAGAACGGTTCCACTCTGTTAGGTGAATGCACACATCACAAGAAGTTTCTGAGAATGCTTCTGTTTAGTTTGTATGTGAAGATATTTCCTTTTCCATCATACTACTCGAATCGCTCCAAATATCCACCTGCAGACGTTACAAAAAGACTGTTTCAAAACTGCTCTCTCAAAAGGAAGGTTTAACTCTGTGAGTTGAGTGCACACATCACAATGGAGTTTCTGAGAATACTTCTGTCTACTTTGTATGTGAAGGTATTTCCTTTTCCACCTGAGGCCCCACGACACTACAAATATCCACTTGCAGATACTACAAAAAGACTGTTTCAAAACCTCCCTCTCCAAAGGAAAGTTCAAATCCTGTCGGTTGAATGCACACATCACAAAGCAGTTTCTGAGAATGCTTCTGTCTAGTTTGTATGTGAAGATATTTCCTTTTCCATCTTAGGCCTCAAATCGCTCCAAATATCCACTTGCAGATACTACAAAAGACCGTTTCAACACTGCTCTCTCAAATGGAAGGTTCAACTCTGTGAGTTGAATGCACACATCACAAAGCAGTTTCTGAGAATGCTTCTGTCTAGTTTGTATGTGAAGATATTTCCTTTTCCATCATAGGCCTCAAATCGCTCCAAATATCCAATTGAAGATACTACAAAAAGATCGTTTCAACACTGCTCTCTCAAATGGAAGGTTCAACTCTGTGAGTTGAATGCACACATCACAAAGCAGTTTCTGAGAATGCTTCTGTCTAGTTTGTATGTGAAGATATGCCTTTTACAACGTATTCCTCAAAGAGCTCCCACTATCCACAAGCAGATTCTACAAAAGCAGTGTTTCAAACCTGCTCTATCAAAGGAAAGTTTCAACTCTGTGAATTGAATGCACACATCACAAAGCAGTTTCTAAGAATGCTTCTGTCTAGTTTTTAAGAGAAGATAATCCTTTTTCCACCATAGGCAACAAATCTCTCCAAATGAACACTACCAGGTTCTACAAAAATGTGTTTCAACACTGCTCTAACAAAAGTAAGGATCAAGACTTTGAGTTAAATGCACACATCACAAAGCAGTTTCTGAGAAAGCTTCTGTCTAGTTTTTATTTGAAGGTACTTCCTTTTCCTTCTTAGACCTCAAATCGCTCCAAATATCCACTTGCAGATACTACAAAAAGACTGTTTCAAAACCGCTCTCTCAAAAGGAAGGTTCAACTCTGTGAGTTGAATGCACATATTACAAAGCAGTTCCTGGAATGCTTCTGCCTATTTTTTAGGTGAACATATCACTTTTTCCAACATAGGCCACAAAGCATTTGAAATGAACCCTTGTAGATTCTACAAAGTGTTTGTTTCAACACTGCTGTATCTAAAAGAAAGGTTCAACAATGTGAATTGAACAAACCCATCACAAAGGAGTTTCTGAGAATGCTTCTGTCTAGTTTTTATGTGAAGATAATTCTTTTTCCAACATAGGCAACAAAGCACTCCAAAGAACACTTGTAGATTATACAAAAAGTGTGTTTCAACACTGCTCTACCTAAAGGAAGTTTCAAGTCTGTGACTTAAGTGCACACATCACAAAGCAGTTTCTGAGAATGCTTCTGTCTATTTTGTATGTGAAGATATTTCATTTTCCACCATACTCCACAAATCGCTCCAAATATCCACTTGCAAATACTACAAAAAGACTGTTTCAAAACTTCTCTCTCAAAAGGAAGGTTCAACTCTGTGAGTTGAATGCACACATCACAAGGCAGTTTCCAAAAATGCTTCCGTCTAGTTTTTTATTTGAAGGTATTTCCTTTTCCTTCTTTGGCCTCAAATCACTGCAAATATCCACTTGCAGATACTACAAAAAGACTGTTTCAAAACCGCTCTCTCATAAGGAAGGTTCAACACTGTGAGTTGAATGCACATGTTACAAAGCAGTTTCTGGAATGCTTCTGTCTATTTTTCAGGTGAAGATATCACTTTTTCCAACATACGCACAAAAGAACTCGAAATGGACACTTGCAGATTCTACAAAAAGTATGTTTCAACACTGCTCTATCAAAAGAAAGGTTCAACGATGTGAATTGAACACACACTTCACAGAGGAGTTTCAGAGAATGCTTCTGTCTAGTTTTTAAGTGAAGATATTCCTTTTTCCCACATAGGCAACAAAGCGCTCCAAACGAATACTTGTGGATTCTACAAAAAGTGTGTTTCAACACTGCTCTATCAAAAGAAAGTTTCAAGTCTGTGAGTTGAACGCACACATCACAAAGAACCTTCTGAGAATGCTTGGGTCTACTTTTTATGTGAAGATACCCGTTTCCAACGAATAACTCAAAGAGTTCCAAATATACACAATCAGATACTACAAAAGGAGTGTTTCATTCCTCCTCTGTCAAAAGACAGTTTCAACTCTGTTAGTTGAATGCACACATCTCAATGAAGTTCCGGAGAAGGCTTCTGCCTAGTTTTCTGTGAAGATAGTCCCTTTTCCACCATGGGCTTCAAAGCGCTCCAAATGAAAACTTGCAGGTCCTACCAAAAGACTGATTCAAAACTGCTCTATCAAAAGAACGGTTCCACTCTGTTAGGTGAACGCACACATCACAAGAAGTTTCTGAGAATGCTTCTGTTTAGTTTGTATGTGAAGATATTTCCTTTTCCATCATAGTACTCGAATCGCTCCAAATATCCACCTGCAGCCATTACAAAAAGACTGTTTCAAAACTGCTCTCTCAAAAGGAAGGTTCAACTCTGTGAGTTGAGTGCACACATCACAATGGGAGTTTCTGAGAATACTTCTGTCTACTTTGTATGTGAAGGTATTTCCTTTTCCACCTGAGGCCCCAAGTCACTACAAATATCCACTTGCAGATACTACAAAAAGACTGTTTCAAAACCTCCCTCTCCAAAGGAAAGTTCAAATCTGTCGGTTGAATGCACACATCACAAAGCAGTTTCTGAGAATGCTTCTGTCTAGTTTGTATGTGAAGATATTTCCTTTTCCATCATAGGCCTCAAATCGCCCCAAATATCCACTTGCAGATACTACAAAAGACCGTTTCAACACTGCTCTCTCAAAAGGAAGGTTCAACTCTGTGGGTTGAATGCACACATCACAAAGCAGTTTCTGAGAATGCTTCTGTCTAGTTTGTATGTGAAGATATTTCCTTTTCCATCATAGGCCTCAAATCGCTCCAAATATCCACTTGAAGATACTACAAAAAGACCGTTTCAACACTGCTCTCTCAAATGGAAGGTTCAACTCTGTGAGTTGAATGCACACATCACAAAGCAGTTTCTGAGAATGCTTCTGTCTAGTTTGTATGTGAAGATATGCCTTTTACAACGTATTCCTCAAGGAGCTCCCAATATCCACAAGCAGATTCTACAGAAGCAGTGTTTCAAACCTGCTCTGTCAAAGGAAAGTTTCAACTCTGTGAATTGAACACACACATCACAAAGCAGTTTCTAAGAATGCTTCTGTCTAGTTTTTAAGAGAAGATAATCCTTTTTCCACCATAGGCAACAAATCTCTCCAAATGAACACTACCAGGTTCTACAAAAAGTGTGTTTCAACACTGCTCTAACAAAAGTAAGGATCAAGACTTTGAGTTAAATGCACACATCACAAAGCAGTTTCTGAGAAAGCTTCTGTCTAGTTTTTATTTGAAGGTACTTCCTTTTCCTTCTTAGACCTCAAATCGCTCCAAATATCCACTTGCAGATACTACAAAAAGACTGTTTCAAAACCGCTCTCTCAAAAGGAAGGTTCAACTCTGTGAGTTGAATGCACATATTACAAAGCAGTTCCTGAGAATGCCTCTGTCTATTTTTTAGGAGAACATATCACTTTTTCCAACTTAGGCCACAAAGCATTTGAAATGAACACTTGCAGATTCTACAAAATGTTTGTTTCAACACTGCTGTATCAAAAGAAAGGTTCAACAATGTGAATTGAACACACCCATCACAAAGGAGTTTCTGAGAATGCTTCTGTCTAGTTTCTATGTGAAGATATTTCTTTTTCAACGTAGCCAACAAAGCACTCCAAAGAACACTTGTAGATTATACAAAAAGTGTGTTTCAACACTGCTCTACCTAAAGGAAGTTTCAAGTCTGTGACTTAAATGCACACATCACAAAGCAGTTTCTGACAATGCTTCTGTCTAGCTTGTATGTGAAGATATTTCATTTTCCACCATACTCCACAAATCGCTCCAAATATCCACTTGCAAATACTACAAAAAGACTGTTTCAAAACTTCTCTCTCAAAAGGAAGGTTCAACTGTGTGAGTTGAATGCACACATCACAAGGCAGTTTCTGAAAATGCTTCCGTCTAGTTTTTTATTTGAAGGTATTTCCTTTTCCTCCTTCGGCCTCAAATCACTGCAAATATCCACTTGCAGATACTTCAAAAAGACTGTTTCAAAACCGCTCTCTCAAAAGGAAGGTTCAACACTGTGAGTTGAATGCACATGTTACAAAGCAGTTTCTGGAATGCTTCTGTCTATTTTTCAGGTGAAGATATCACTTTTTCCAACATACGCACAAAAGAACTCGAAATGGACACTTGCAGATTCTACAAAAAGTATGTTTCAACACTGCTCTATCAAAAGAAATGTTCAACGATGTGAATTGAACACACACTTCACAGAGGAGTTTCAGAGAATGCTTCTGTCTAGTTTTTAAGTGAAGATATTCCTTTTTCCCACATAGGCAACAAAGCGCTCCAAAGGAATACTTGTGGATTCTACAAAAAGTGTGTTTCAACACTGCTCTATCAAAAGAAAGTTTCAAGTCTGTGAGTTGAACGCACACATCACAAAGAACCTTCTGAGAATGCTTGGGTCTACTTTTTATGTGAAGATACCCGTTTCCAACGAATAACTCAAAGAGTTCCAAATATACACAATCAGATACTACAAAAGGAGTGTTTCATTCCTCCTCTGTCAAAAGACAGTTTCAACTCTGTTACTTGAATGCACACATCTCAATGAAGTTCCTGAGAAGGCTTCTGCCTAGTTTTTTGTGAAGATGATAGTCCCTTTTCCACCAAGGGCTTCAAAGCGCTCCAAATGAAAACTTGCAGGTCCTACCAAAAGACTGATTCAAAACTGCTCTATCAAAAGAACGGTTCCACTCTGTTAGGTGAATGCACACATCACAAGAAGTTTCTGAGAATGCTTCTGTTTAGTTTGTATGTGAAGATATTTCCTTTTCCATCATAGTACTCGAATCGCTCCAAATATCCACTTGCAGACATTACAAAAAGACTGTTTCAAAACTGCTCTCTCAAAAGGAAGGTTCAACTCTGTGAGTTGAGTGCACACATCACAATGGAGTTTCTGAGAATACTTCTGTCTAGTTTGTATGTGAAGGTATTTCCTTTTCCATCTGAGGCCCCAAGTCACTACAAATATCCACTTGCAGATACTACAAAAAGACTGTTTCAAAACCTCCCTCTCAAAAGGAAAGTTCAAATCTGTCGGTTGAATGCACACATCACAAAGCAGTTTCTGAGAATGCTTCTGTCTAGTTTGTATGTGAAGATATTTCCTTTTCCATCATAGGCCTCAAATCGCTCCAAATATCCACTTGCAGATACTACAAAAGACCGTTTCAACACTGCTCTCTCAAAAGGAAGGTTCAACTCTGTGGGTTGAATGCACACATCACGAAGCAGTTTCTGAGAATGCTTCTGTCTAGTTTGTATGTGAAGATATTTCCTTTTCCATCATAGGCCTCAAATCGCTCCAAATATCCACTTGAAGATACTACAAAAAGACCGTTTCAACACTGCTCTCTCAAATGGAAGGTTCAACTCTGTGAGTTGAATGCACACATCACAAAGCAGTTTCTGAGAATGCTTCTGTCTAGTTTGTATGTGAAGATATGCCTTTTACAACGTATTCCTCAAGGAGCTCCCAATATCCACAAGCAGATTCTACAGAAGCAGTGTTTCAAACCTGCTCTGTCAAAGGAAAGTTTCAACTCTGTGAATTGAACACACACATCACAAAGCCGTTTCTAAGAATGCTTCTGTCTAGTTTTTAAGAGAAGATAATCCTTTTTCCACCATAGGCAACAAATCTCTCCAAATGAACACTACCAGGTTCTACAAAAAGTGTGTTTCAACACTGCTCTAACAAAAGTAAGGATCAAGACTTTGAGTTAAATGCACACATCACAAAGCAGTTTCTGAGAAAGCTTCTGTCTAGTTTTTATTTGAAGGTACTTCCTTTTCCTTCTTAGACCTCAAATCGCTCCAAATATCCACTTGCAGATACTACAAAAAGACTGTTTCAAAACCGCTCTCTCAAAAGGAAGGTTCAGCTCTGTGAGTTGAATGCACATATTACAAAGCAGTTCCTGAGAATGCTTCTGTCTATTTTTTAGGTGAAGATATCACTTTTTCCAACATAGGCCACAAAGCATTTGAAATGAACACTTGCAGATTCTACAAAATGTTTGTTTCAACACTGCTGTATCAAAAGCAAGGTTCAACAATGTGAATTGAACACACCCATCACAAAGGAGTTTCTGAGAATGCTTCTGTCTAGTTTTTATGTGAAGATATTTCTTTTTCCAACATAGGCAACAAAGCACTCCAAAGAACACTTGTAGATTATACAAAAAGTGTGTTTCAACACTGCTCTACCTAAAGGAAGTTTCAAGTCTGTGACTTAAATGCACACATCACAAAGCAGTTTCTGACAATGCTTCTGTCTACTTTGTATGTGAAGGTATTTCATTTTCCACCATACTCCACAAATCGCTCCAAATATCCACTTGCAAATACTACAAAAAGACTGTTTCAAAACTTCTCTCTCAAAAGGAAGGTTCAACTCTGTGAGTTGAATGCACACATCACAAGGCAGTTTCTGAAAATGCTTCCGTCTAGTTTTTTATTTGAAGGTATTTCCTTTTCCTTCTTCGGCCTCAAATCACTGCAAATATCCAATTGCAGATACTACAAAAAGACTGTTTCAAAACCGCTCTCTCAAAAGGAAGGTTCAACACTGTGAGTTGAATGCACATGTTACAAAGCAGTTTCTGGAATGCTTCTGTCTATTTTTCAGGTGAAGATATCACTTTTTCCAACATACGCACAAAAAAACTCGAAATGGACACTTGCAGATTCTACAAAAAGTATGTTTCAACACTGCTCTATCAAAAGAAAGGTTCAACGATGTGAAATGAACACACACTTCACAGAGGAGTTTCAGAGAATGCTTCTGTCTAGTTTTTAAGTGAAGATATTCCTTTTTCCCACATAGGCAACAAAGCGCTCCAAAGGAATACTTGTGGATTCTACAAAAAGTGTGTTTCAACACTGCTCTATCAAAAGAAAGTTTCAAGTCTGTGAGTTGAACGCACACATCACAAAGAACCTTCTGAGAATGCTTGGGTCTACTTTTTATGTGAAGATACCCGTTTCCAACGAATAACTCAAAGAGTTCCAAATATACACAGTCAGATACTGCAAAAGGAGTGTTTCATTCCTGCTCTGTCAAAAGACAGTTTCAACTATGTTAGTTGAATGCACACATCTCAGTGAAGTTCCTGAGGAGGCTTCTGCCTAGTTTTTTGTGAAGATAGTCCCTTTTCCACCATGGGCTTCAAAGCGCTCCAAATGAAAACTTGCAGGTCCTACCAAAAGACTGATTCAAAACTGCTCTATCAAAAGAACGGTTCCACTCTGTTAGGTGAATGCACACATCACAAGAAGTTTCTGAGAATGCTTCTGTTTAGTTTGTATGTGAAGATATTTCCTTTTCCATCATACTACACGAATCGCTCCAAATATCCACCTGCAGACGTTACAAAAAGACTGTTTCAAAACTGCTCTCTCAAAAGGAAGGTTCAACTCTGTGAGTTGAGTGCACACATCGCAATGGAGGTTCTGAGAATACTTCTGTCAACTTTGTATGTGAAGGTATTTCCTTTTCCATCTGAGGCCCCAAGTCACTACAAATATCCATTTACAGATACTACAAAAAGACTGTTTCAAAACCTCCCTCTCAAAAGGAAAGTTCAAATCTGTGAGTTGAATGCACACATCACAAAGCAGTTCCTGAGACTGCTTCTGTCTAGTTTGTATGTGAAGATATTTCCTTTTCCATCATAGGCCACAAATCACTCCAAATATCCACTTGCAGATACTACAAAAGACCGTTTCAACACTGCTCTCTCAAAAGGAAGGTTCAACTCTGTGAGTTGAATGCACACATCACAACGGAGTTTCTGAGAATGCTTCTGTCTAGTTTGTATGTGAAGATATGCCTTTTACAACGTATTCCTCAAAGAGCTCCCAATATCCACAAGCAGATTCTACAAAAGCAGTGTTTCAAACCTGCTCTATCAAAGGAAAGTTTCAACTCTGTGAATTGAACACACACATCACAAAGCAGCTTCTAAGAATGCTTCTCTCTAGTTTTTAAGAGAAGATAATCTTTTTCCACCATAGGCAACAAATCTCTCCAAATGAACACTAGCAGGTTCTACCAAAAGTGTGTTTCAACACTGCTCTGTCAAAAGAAAGGATCAAGACTTTGAGTTAAATGCACACATCACAAAGCAGTTTCTGAGAAAGCTTCTGTCTAGTTTTTATTTGAAGGTACTTCCTTTTCCTTCTTAGACCTCAAATCGCTGCAAATATCCACTTGCAGATACTACAAAAAGACTGTTTCAAAACCGCTCTCTCAAAAGGAAGGTTCAACTCTGTGAGTTGAATGCACATATTACAAAGCAGTTCCTGAGAATGCTTCTGTCTATTTTTTAGGTGAAGATATCACTTTTTCCAACATAGGCCGCAAAGCATTTGAAATGAACCCTTGCAGATTCTACAAAATGTTTGTTTCAACACTGCTGTATCAAAAGAAAGGTTCAACAATGTGAATTGAACAAACCCATTACAAAGGAGTTTCTGAGAATGCTTCTGTCTAGTTTTTATGTGAAGATATTTCTTTTTCCAACATAGGCAACAAAGCACTCCAAAGAACACTTGTAGATTATACAAAAAGTGTGTTTCAACACTGCTCTACCTAAAGGAAGTTTCAAGTCTGTGACTTAAATGCACACATCACAAAGCAGTTTCTGAGAATGCTTCTGTCTAGTTTGTATGTGAAGATATTTCATTTTCCACCATACTCCACAAATCGCTCCAAATATCCACTTGCAAATACTACAAAAAGACTGTTTCAAAACTTCTCTCTCAAAAGGAAGGTTCAACTCTGTGAGTTGAATGCACACATCACAAGGCAGTTTCTGAAAATGCTTTCCGTCTAGTTTTTTATTTGAAGGTATTTCCTTTTCCTTCTTCGGCCTCAAATCACTGCAAATATCCACTTGCAGATACTACAAAAAGACTGTTTCAAAACCGCTCTCACAAAAGGAAGGTTCAACACTGTGAGTTGAATGCACATGTTACAAAGCAGTTTCTGGAATGCTTCTGTCTATTTTTCAGGTGAAGATATCACTTTTTCCAACATACGCACAAAAGAACTCGAAATGGACACTTGCAGATTCTACAAAAAGTATGTTTCAACACTGCTCTATCAAAAGAAAGGTTCAACGATGTGAATTGAACACACACTTCACAGAGGAGTTTCAGAGAATGCTTCTGTCTAGTTTTTCAGTGAAGATATTACTTTTTCCCACATAGGCAACAAAGCGCTCCAAACGAATACTTGTGGATTCTACAAAAAGTGTGTTTCAACACTGCTCTATCAAAAGAAAGTTTCAAGTCTGTGAGTTGAACGCACACATCACAAAGAACCTTCTGAGAATGCTTGGGTCTACTTTTTATGTGAAGATACCCGTTTCCAACGAATAACTCAAAGAGTTCCAAATATACACAATCAGATACTACGAAAGGAGTGATTCATTCCTCCTCTGTCAAAAGACAGTTTCAACTCTGTTAGTTGAATGCACACATCTCAATGAAGTTCCTGAGAAGGCTTCTGCCTAGTTTTTTGTGAAGATAGTCCCTTTTCCACCATGGGCTTCAAAGCGCTCCAAATGAAAACTTGCAGGTCCTACCAAAAGACTGATTCAAAACGGCTCTATCAAAAGAACGGTTCCACTCTGTTAGGTGAACGCACACATCACAAGAAGTTTCTGAGAATGCTTCCGTTTAGTTTGTATGTGAAGATATTTCCTTTTCCATCATAGTACTCGAATCGCTCCAAATATCCACTTGCAGACATTACAAAAAGACTGTTTCAAAACTGCTCTCTCAAAAGGAAGGTTCAACTCTGTGAGTTGAGTGCACACATCACAATGGAGTATGTGAGAATACTTCTGTCTAGTTTGTATGTGAAGGTATTTCCTTTTCCATCTGAGGCCCCAAGTCACCACAAATATCCACTTGCAGATACTACAAAAAGACTGTTTCAAAACCTCCCTCTCAAAAGGAAAGTTCAAATCCTGTCGGTTGAATGCACACATCACAAAGCAGTTTCTGAGAATGCTTCTGTCTAGTTTGTATGTGAAGATATTTCCTTTTCCATCATAGGCCTCAAATCGCTCCAAATATCCACTTGCAGATACTACAAAAGACCATTTCAACACTGCTCTCTCAAAAGGAAGGTTCAACTCTGTGGGTTGAATCCACACATCACAAAGCAGTTTCTGAGAATGCTTCTGTCTAGTTTGTATGTGAAGATATTTCCTTTTCAATCATAGGCCTCAAATCGCTCTAAATATCCACTTGCAAATACTACAAAAAGACTGTTTCAACACTGCTCTCTCAAACGGAAAGTTCAACTCTGTGAGTTGAATGCACACATCACAAAGCAGTTTCTGAGAATACTTCTGTCTAGTTTGTATGTGAAGATATGCCTTTTACAACGTATTCCTCAAAGAGCTCCCAATATCCACAAGCAGATTCTACAAAAGCAGTGTTTCAAAACTGCTCTATCAAAGGAAAGTTTCAACTCTGTGAATTGAACACACACATCACAAAGCAGTTTCTAAGAATGCTTCTGTCTAGTTTTTAAGAGAAGATAATCCTTTTTCCACCATAGGCAACAAATCTCTCCAAATGAACACTACCAGGTTCTACAAAAAGTGTGTTTCAACACTGCTCTAACAAAAGTAAGGATCAAGACTTTGAGTTAAATGCACACATCACAAAGCAGTTTCTGAGAAAGCTTCTGTCTAGTTTTTATTTGAAGGTACTTCCTTTTCCTTCTTAGACCTCAAATCGCTCCAAATATCCACTTGCAGATACTACAAAAAGACTGTTTCAAAACCGCTCTCTCAAAAGGAAGGTTCAACTCTGTGAGTTGAATGCACATATTACAAAGCAGTTCCTGAGAATGCTTCTGTCTATTTTTTAGGTGAAGATATCACTTTTTCCAACATAGGCCGCAAAGCATTTGAAATGAACCCTTGCAGATTCTACAAAATGTTTGTTTCAACACTGCTGTATCAAAAGAAAGGTTCAACAATGTGAATTGAACAAACCCATTACAAAGGAGTTTCTGAGAATGCTTCTGGCTAGTTTTTATGTGAAGATATTTCTTTTTCCAACATAGGCAACAAAGCACTCCAAAGAACACTTGTAGATTATACAAAAAGTGTGTTTCAACACTGCTCTACCTAAAGGAAGTTTCAAGTCTGTGACTTAAATGCACACATCACAAAGCAGTTTCTGACAATGCTTCTGTCTAGTTTGTATGTGAAGATATTTCATTTTCCACCATACTCCACAAATCGCTCCAAATATCCACTTGCAAATACTACAAAAAGACTGTTTCAAAACTTCTCTCTCAAAAGGAAGGTTCAACTCTGTGAGTTGAATGCACACATCACAAGGCAGTTTCTGAAAATGCTTCCGTCTAGTTTTTTATTTGAAGGAATTTCCTTTTCCTTCTTCGGCCTCAAATCACTGCAAATATCCACTTGCAGATACTACAAAAAGACTGTTTCAAAACCGCTCTCTCAAAAGGAAGGTTCAACTGTGTGACTTGAATGCACACATCACAAAGCAGTTTTTGAGAATGTTTCTGTCTATTTTTCAGGTGAAGATATCACTTTTTCCAACATACGCACAAAAGAACTCGAAATGGACACTTGCAGATTCTACAAAAAGTATGTTTCAACACTGCTCTATCAAAAGAAAGGTTCAACGATGTGAATTGAACACACACTTCACAGAGGAGTTTCAGAGAATGCTTCTGTCTAGTTTTTAAGTGAAGATATTACTTTTTCCCACATAGGCAACAAAGCGCTCCAAACGAATACTTGTGGATTCTACAAAAAGTGTGTTTCAACACTGCTCTATCAAAAGAAAGTTTCAAGTCTGTGAGTTGAACGCACACATCACAAAGAACCTTCTGAGAATGTTTGGGTCTACTTTTTATGTGAAGATACCCGTTTCCAACGAATAACTCAAAGAGTTCCAAATATACACAATCAGATACTACAAAAGGAGTGTTTCATTCCTCCTCTGTCAAAAGACAGTTTCAACTCTGTTAGTTGAATGCACACATCTCAATGAAGTTCCTGAGAAGGCTTCTGCCTAGTTTTTTGTGAAGATAGTCCCTTTTCCACCATGGGTTTCAAAGCGCTCCAAATGAAAATCTGCAGGTCCTACCAAAAGACTGATTCAAAACGGCTCTATCAAAAGAACGGTTCCACTCTGTTAGGTGAACGCACACATCACAAGAAGTTTCTGAGAATGCTTCTGTTTAGTTTGTATGTGAAGATATTTCCTTTTCCATCATAGTACTCGAATCGCTCCAAATATCCACCTGCAGACATTACAAAAAGACTGTTTCAAAACTGCTCTCTCAAAAGGAAGGTTCAACTCTGTGAGTTGAGTGCACACATCACAATGGAGTTTCTGAGAATACTTCTGTCTACTTTGTATGTGAAGGTATTTCCTTTTCCACCTGAGGCCCCAAGTCACTACAAATATCCACTTGCAGATACTACAAAAAGACTGTTTCAAACCCTCCCTCTCAAAAGGAAAGTTCAAATCTGTCGGTTGAATGCACACATCACAAAGCAGTTTCTGAGAATGCTTCTGTCTAGTTTGTATGTGAAGATATTTGCTTTTCCATCATAGGCCTCAAATCGCTCCAAATATCCACTTGCAGATACTACAAAAGACCGTTTCAACACTGCTCTCTCAAAAGGAAGGTTCAAATCTGTGGGTTGAATGCACACATCACAAAGCAGTTTCTGAGAATGCTTCTGTCTAGTTTGTATGTGAAGATATTTCCTTTTCCATCATAGGCCTCAAATCGCTCCAAATATCCACTTGCAGATACTACAAAAAGACTGTTTCAACACTGCTCTCTCAAATGAAAGGTTCAACTCTGTGAGTTGAATGCACACATCACAACGGAGTTTCTGAGAATGCTTCTGTCTAGTTTGTATGTGAAGATATGCCTTTTACAACGTATTCCTCAAGGAGCTCCCAATATCCACAAGCAGATTCTACAGAAGCAGTGTTTCAAACCTGCTCTGTCAAAGGAAAGTTTCAACTCTGTGAATTGAACACACACATCACAAAGCAGTTTCTAAGAATGCTTCTGTCTAGTATTTAAGAGAAGATAATCCTTTTTCCACCATAGGCAACAAATCTCTCCAAATGAACACTACCAGGGTCTACAAATAGTGTGTTTCAACACTGCTCTAACAAAAGTAAGGATCAAGACTTTGAGTTAAATGCACACATCACAAAGCAGTTTCTGAGAAAGCTTCTGTCTAGTTTTTATTTGAAGGTATTTCCTTTTACTTCTTAGACCTCAAATCGCTCCAAATATCCACTTGCAGATACTGCAAAAAGACTGTTTCAAAACCGCTCTCTCAAAAGAAAGGTTCAACTCTGTGAGTTGAATGCACATATTACAAAGCAGTTCCTGAGAATGCTTCTGTCTATTTTTTAGGTGAAGATATCACTTTTTCCAACATAGGCCAGAAAGCATTTGAAATGAACACTTGCAGATTCTACAAAATGTTTGTTTCCACACTGCTGTATCAAAAGCAAGGTTCAACAATGTGAATTGAACACACCCATCACAAAGGAGTTTCTGAGAATGCTTCTGTCTAGTTTTTATGTGAAGATATTTCTTTTTCCAACATAGGCAACAAAGCACTCCAAAGAACACTTGTAGATTATACAAAAAGTGTGTTTCAACACTGCTCTACCTAAAGGAAGTTTCAAGTCTGTGACTTAAATGCACACATCACAAAGCAGTTTCTGACAATGCTTCTGTCTAGTTTGTATGTGAAGATATTTCATTTATCACCATACTCCACAAATCGCTCCAAATATCCACTTGCAAATACTACAAAAAGACTGTTTCAAAACTTCTCTCTCAAAAGGAAGGTTCAACTCTGTGAGTTGAATGCACACATCACAAGGCAGTTTCTGAAAATGCTTCCGTCTAGTTTTTTATTTGAAGGTATTTCCTTTTCCTTCTTCGGCCTCAAATCACTGCAAATATCCACTTGCAGATACTACAGAAAGACTGTTTCAAAACCGCTCTCTCAAAAGGAAGGTTCAACACTGTGAGTTGAATGCACATGTTACAAAGCAGTTTCTGGAATGCTTCTGTCTATTTTTCAGGTGAAGATATCACTTTTTCCAACATACGCACAAAAGAACTCGAAATGGACACTTGCAGATTCTACAAAAAGTATGTTTCAACACTGCTCTATCAAAAGAAAGGTTCAACGATGTGAAATGAACACACACTTCACAGAGGAGTTTCAGAGAATGCTTCTGTCTAGTTTTTAAGTGAAGATATTCCTTTTTCCCACATAGGCAACAAAGCGCTCCAAACGAATACTTCTGGATTCTACAAAAAGTGTGTTTCAACACTGCTCTATCAAAAGAAAGTTTCAAGTCTGTGAGTTGAACGCCCACATCACAAAGAACCTTCTGAGAATGCTTGGGTCTACTTTTTAGGTGAAGATACCCGTTTCCAACGAATAACTCAAAGAGTTCCAAATATACACAATCAGATACTACAAAAGGAGTGTTTCATTCCTCCTCTGTCAAAAGACAGTTTCAACTCTGTTAGTTGAATGCACACATCTCAATGAAGTTCCTGAGAAGGCTTCTGCCTAGTTTTTTGTGAAGATAGTCCCTTTTCCACCATGGGCTTCAAAGCGCTCCAAATGAAAACTTGCAGGTCCTACCAAAAGACTGATTCAAAACTGCTCTATCAAAAGAACGGTTCCACTCTGTTAGGTGAATGCACACATCACAAGAAGTTTCTGAGAATGCTTCTGTTTAGTTTGTATGTGAAGATATTTCCTTTTCCATCATAGTACACGAATCGCTCCAAATATCCACCTGCAGACGTTACAAAAAGACTGTTTCAAAACTGCTCTCTCAAAAGGAAGGTTCAACTCTGTGAGTTGAGTGCACACATCGCAATGGAGGTTCTGAGAATACTTCTGTCTAGTTTGCATGTGAAGGTATTTCCTTTTCCATCTGAGGCCCCAAGTCACTACAAATATCCACTTGCAGATACTACAAAAAGACTGTTTCAAAACCTCCCTCTCCAAAGGAAAGTTCAAATCTGTCGGTTGAATGCACACATCATAAAGCAGTTTCTGAGAATGCTTCCGTCTAGTTTGTATGTGAAGATATTTCCTTTTCCATCATAGACCTCAAATCGCTCCAAATATCCACTTGCAGATACTACAAAAGACCGTTTCAACACTGCTCTCTCAAAAGGAAGGTTCAACTCTGTGGGTTGAATGCACACATCACAAAGCAGTTTCTGAGAATGCTTCTGTTTAGTTTGTATGTGAAGATATTTCCTTTTCCATCATAGTACTCGAATCGCTCCAAATATCCACTGGCAGACATTACAAAAAGACTGTTTCAAAACCTCCCTCTCAAAAGGAAAGTTCAAATCTGTGAGTTGAATGCACACATCACAAAGCAGTTCCTGAGACTGCTTCTGTCTAGTTTGTATGTGAAGATATGCCTTTTACAACGTATTCCTCAAAGAGCTCCCAATATCCACAAGCAGATTCTACAAAAGCAGTGTTTCAAAACTGCTCTATCAAAGGAAAGTTTCAACTCTGTGAATTGAACACACACATCACAAAGCAGTTTCTAAGAATGCTTCTGTCTAGTTTTTAAGAGAAGATAATCCTTTTTCCACCATAGGCAACAAATCTCTCCAAATGAACACTACCAGGTTCTACAAAAAGTGTGTTTCAACACTGCTCTAACAAAAGTAAGGATCAAGTCTGTGAGTTAAATGCACACATCACCAAGCAGTTTCTGAGAATGCTTCTGTCTAGTTTTTATTTGAAGGTACTTCCTTTTCCTTCTTAGACCTCAAATCGCTCCAAATATCCACTTGCAGATACTACAAAAAGACTGTTTCAAAACCGCTCTCTCAAAAGGAAGGTTCAACTCTGTGAGTTGAATGCACATATTACAAAGCAGTTCCTGAGAATGCTTCTGTCTATTTTTTAGGTGAACATATCACTTTTTCCAACATAGGCCACAAAGCATTTGAAACGAGCACTTGCAGATTCTACAAAATGTTTGTTTCAACACTGCTGTATCAAAAGAAAGGTTCAACAATGTGAATTGAACAAACCCATCACAAAGGAGTTTCTGAGAATGCTTCTGTCTAGTTTTTATGTGAAGATATTTCTTTTTCCAACATAGGCAACAAAGCACACCAAAGAACACTTGTAGATTATACAAAAAGTGTGCTTCAACACTGCTCTATCTAAAGGAAGTTTCAAGTCTGTGAGTTAAATGCACACATCACAAAGCAGTTTCTGATAATGCTTCTGTCTAGTTTGTATGTGAAGATATTTCATTTTCCACAATACTCCACAAATCGCCGCAAATATCCACTTGCTGATATGACAAAAAGACTACTTCAAAACTGGTCTCTCAAAAGGAAGGTTCAACTGTTTGAGTTAAATGCACACATCACCAAGCAGTTCCTGAGAATGCTTCTGTCGAGTTTGTATGTGAAGATATTTCCTTTTCCATCTTAGGCCTCAAATCACTACAAATATCCACTTGCAGATACTGTAAAAAGACTGTTTCAAAACCTCTCTCTCAAAAGGAAACTTCAAGTCTAGGAGTTGACTGCACACATCACAAAGCAGTTCCTGAGACTGCTTCTGTCTAATTTGTATGTGAAGTTATTCCCTTTTCCATCATAGGTCACAAATCGCTCCAAATATCCACTTGCAGATACTACAAAAAGACTGTTTCATAACTGCTCTCTCAAAAGGAAGGTTCAACTCTGTGAGTTGAATGCGCACATCACAAAGCAGTTTCTGAGAATGCTTCTGTCTAGTTTGTATGTGAAGATATGCCTTTTAAAACGTATTCCTCAAGGAGCTCCCAATATCCACAAGCAGATTCTACAGAAGCAGTGTTTCAAACCTGCTCTGTCAAAGGAAAGTTTCAACTCTGTGAATTGAACACACACATCACAAAGCAGTTTCTAAGAATGCTTCTGTCTAGTTTTTAAGAGAAGATAATCCTTTTTCCACCATAGGCAACAAACCTCTCCAAATGAACACTACCAGGTTCTACAAAAAGTGTGTTTCAACACTGCTCTAACAAAAGTAAGGATCAAGACTTTGAGTTAAATGCACACATCACAAAGCAGTTTCTGAGAAAGCTTCTGTCTAGTTTTTATTTGAAGGTACTTCCTTTTCCTTCTTAGACCTCAAATCGCTCCAAATATCCACTTGCAGATACTACAAAAAGACTGTTTCAAAACCGCTCTCTCAAAAGGAAGGTTCAACTCTGTGAGTTGAATGCACATATTACAAAGCAGTTCCTGAGAATGCTTCTGTCTATTTTTTAGGTGAAGATATCACTTTTTCCAACATAGGCCACAAAGCATTTGAAATGAACACTTGCAGATTCTACAAAATGTTTGTTTCAACACTGCTGTATCAAAAGAAAGGTTCAACAATGTGAATTGAACACACCCATCACAAAGGAGTTTCTGAGAATGCTTCTGTCTAGTTTTTATGTGAAGTTGTTTCTTTTTCCAACATAGGCAACAAAGCACTCCAAAGAACACTTGTAGATTATACAAAAAGTGTGTTTCAACACTGCTCTACCTAAAGGAAGTTTCAAGTCTGTGACTTAAATGCACACATCACAAAGCAGTTTCTGACAATGCTTCTGTCTAGTTTGTATGTGAAGATATTTCATTTTCCACCATACTCCACAAATCGCTCCAAATATCCACTTGCAAATACTACAAAAAGACTGTTTCAAAACTTCTCTCTCAAAAGGAAGGTTCAACTCTGTGAGTTGAATGCACACATCACAAGGCAGTTTCTGAAAATGCTTCCGTCTAGTTTTTTATTTGAAGGTATTTCCTTTTCCTTCTTCGGCCTCAAATCACTGCAAATATCCACTTGCAGATACTACAAAAAGACTGTTTCAAAACCGCTCTCTCAAAAGGAAGGTTCAACACTGTGAGTTGAATGCACATGTTACAAAGCAGTTTCTGGAATGCTTCTGTCTATTTTTCAGGTGAAGATATCACTTTTTCCAACATACACACAAAAGAACTCGAAATGGACACTTGCAGATTCTACAAAAAGTATGTTTCAACACTGCTCTATCAAAAGAAAGGTTCAACGATGTGAATTGAACACACACTTCACAGAGGAGTTTCAGAGAATGCTTCTGTCTAGTTTTTAAGTGAAGATATTCCTTTTTCCCACATAGGCAACAAAGCGCTCCAAACGAATACTTGTGGATTCTACAAAAAGTGTGTTTCAACACTGCTCTATCAAAAGAAAGTTTCAAGTCTGTGAGTTGAACGCACACATCACAAAGAACCTTCTGAGAATGCTTGGGTCTACTTTTTATGTGAAGATACCCGTTTCCAACGAATAACTCAAAGAGTTCCAAATACACACAATCAGATACTACAAAAGGAGTGTTTCATTCCTCCTCTGTCAAAAGACAGTTTCAACTCTGTTAGTTGAATGCACACATCTCAATGAAGTTCCTGAGAAGGCTTCTGCCTAGTTTTTTGTGAAGATAGTGCCTTTTCCACCATGGGCGTCAAAGCGCTCCAAATGAAAACTTGCAGGTCCTACCAAAAGACTGATTCAAAACTGCTCTATCAAAAGAACGGTTCCACTCTTTTAGGTGAATGCACACATCACAACAAGTTTCTGAGAATGCTTCTGTTTAGTTTGTATGTGAAGATATTTCCTTTTCCATCATAGTACTCGAATCGCTCCAAATATCCACCTGCAGACATTACAAAAAGACTGTTTCAAAACTGCTCTCTCAAAAGGAAGGTTCAACTCTGTGAGTTGAGTGCACACATCACAATGGAGTTTCTGAGAATACTTCTGTCTACTTTGTATGTGAAGGTATTTCCTTTTCCACCTGAGGCCCCAAGTCACTACAAATATCCACTTGCAGATACTACAAAAAGAATGTTTCAAAACCACCCTCTCAAAAGGAAAGTTCAAATCTGTCGGTTGAATGCACACATCACAAAGCAGTTTCTGAGAATGCTTCTGTCTAGTTTGTATGTGAAGATATTTCCTTTTCCATCATAGGCCTCAAATCGCTCCAAATATCCACTTGCAGATACTTCAAAAGACCGTTTCAACACTGCTCTCTCAAAAGGAAGGTTCAACTCTGTGGGTTGAATGCACACATCTGGAAGTAGTTTCTGAGAATGCTTCTGTCTAGTTTGTATGTGAAGATATTTCCTTTTCCATCATAGGCCTCAAATCGCTCCAAATATCCACTTGAAGATACTACAAAAAGACTGTTTCAACACTGCTCTCTCAAATGGAAGGTTCAACTCTGTGAGTTGAATGCACACATCACAAAGCAGTTTCTGAGAATGCTTCTGTCTAGTTTGTATGTGAAGATATGTCTTTTACAACGTATTCCTGAAGGAGCTCCCAATATCCACAAGCAGATTCTACAAAAGCAGTGTTTCAAACCTGCTCTATCAAAGGAAAGTTTCAACTCTGTGAATTGAACACACACATCACAAAGCAGTTTCTAAGAATGCTTCTGTCTAGTTTTTAAGAGAAGATAATCCTTTTTCCACCATAGGCAACAAATCTCTCCAAATGAACACTACCAGGTTCTACAAAAAGTGTGTTTCAACACTGCTCTAACAAAAGTAAGGATCAAGACTTTGAGTTAAATGCGCACATCACAAAGCAGTTTCTGAGAAAGCTTCTGTCTAGTTTTTATTTGAAGGTACTTCCTTTTCCTTCTTAGACCTCAAATCGCTCCAAATATCCACTTGCAGATACTACAAAAAGACTGTTTCAAAACCGCTCTCTCAAAAGGAAGGTTCAACTCTGTGAGTTGAATGCACATATTACAAAGCAGTTCCTGAGAATGCTTCTGTCTATTTTTTAGGTGAAGATATCACTTTTTCCAACATAGGCCACAAAGCATTTGAAATGAACACTTGCAGATTCTACAAAATGTTTGTTTCAACACTGCTGTATCAAAAGAAAGGTTCAACAATGTGAATTGAACACACCCATCACAAAGGAGTTTCTGAGAATGCTTCTGTCTAGTTTTTATGTGAAGATATTTCTTTTTCCAACATAGGCAACAAAGCACTCCAAAGAACACTTGTAGATTATACAAAAAGTGTGTTTCAACACTGCTCTATCTAAAGGAAGTTTCAAGTCTGTGAGTTAAATGCACACATCACAAAGCAGTTTCTGACAATGCTTCTGTCTAGTTTGTATGTGAAGATATTTCATTTTCCACCATACTCCACAAATCGCTCCAAATATCCACTTGCAAATACTACAAAAAGACTGTTTCAAAACTTCTCTCTCAAAAGGAAGGTTCAACTCTGTGAGTTGAATGCACACATCACAAGGCAGTTTCTGAAAATGCTTCAGTCTAGTTTTTTATTTGAAGGTATTTCCTTTTCCTTCTTCGGCCTCAAATCACTGCAAATATCCACTTGCAGATACTACAAAAAGACTGTTTCAAAACCGCTCTCTCAAAAGGAAGGTTCAACACTGTGAGTTGAATGCACATGTTACGAAGCAGTTTCTGGAATGCTTCTGTCTATTTTTCAGGTGAAGATATCACTTTTTCCAACATACGCACAAAAGAACTCGAAATGGACACTTGCAGATTCTACAAAAAGTATGTTTCAACACTGCTCTATCAAAAGAAAGGTTCAACGATGTGAAATGAACACACACTTCACAGAGGAGTTTCAGAGAATGCTTCTGTCTAGTTTTTAAGTGAAGATATTCCTTTTTCCCACGTAGGCAACAAAGCGCTCCAAACGAATACTTGTGGATTCTACAAAAAGTGTGTTTCAACACTGCTCTATCAAAAGAAAGTTTCAAGTCTGTGAGTTGAACGCACACATCACAAAGAACCTTCTGAGAATGCTTGGGTCTACTTTTTAGGTGAAGATACCCGTTTCCAACGAATAACTCAAAGAGTTCCAAATATACACAATCAGATACTACAAAAGGAGTGTTTCATTCCTCCTCTGTCAAAAGACAGTTTCAACTCTGTTAGTTGAATGCACACATCTCAATGAAGTTCCTGAGAAGGCTTCTGCCTAGTTTTTTGTGAAGATAGTCCCTTTTCCACCATGGGCGTCAAAGCGCTCCAAATGAAAACTTGCAGGTCCTACCAAAAGACTGATTCAAAACTGCTCTATCAAAAGAACGGTTCCACTCTTTTAGGTGAATGCACACATCACAACAAGTTTCTGAGAATGCTTCTGTTTAGTTTGTATGTGAAGATATTTCCTTTTCCATCATAGTACTCGAATCGCTCCAAATATCCACCTGCAGACATTACAAAAAGACTGTTTCAAAACTGCTCTCTCAAAAGGAAGGTTCAACTCTGTGAGTTGAGGTCACACATCACAATGGAGTTTCTGAGAATACTTCTGTCTAGTTTGTATGTGAAGGTATTTCCTTTTCCATCTGAGGCCCCAAGTCACCACAAATATCCACTTGCAGATCCTACAAAAAGACTGTTTCAAAACCTCCCCTTCAAAAGGAAAGTTCAAATCTGTCGGTTGAATGCACACATCACAAAGCAGTTTCTGAGAATGCTTCTGTCTAGTTTGTATGTGAAGATATTTCCTTTTCCATCATAGGCCTCAAATCGCTCCAAATATCCACTTGCAGATACTACAAAAGAGCGTTTCAACACTGCTCTCTCAAAAGGAAGGTTCAACTCTGTGGGTTGAATGCACACATCACAAAGCAGTTTCTGAGAATGCTTCTGTCTAGTTTGTATGTGAAGATATTTCCTTTTCCATCATAGGCCTCAAATGGCTCCAAATATCCACTTGCAGATACTACAAAAAGACTGTTTCAACACTGCTCTCTCAAATGGAAGGTTCAACTCTGTGAGTTGAATGCACACATCACAACGGAGTTTCTGAGAATACTTCTGTCTAGTTTGTATGTGAAGATATGCCTTTTACAACGTATTCCTCAAGGAGCTCCCAATATCCACAAGCAGATTCTACAGAAGCAGTGTTTCAAACCTGCTCTGTCAAAGGAAAGTTTCAACTCTGTGAATTGAACACACACATCACAAAGCAGTTTCTAAGAATGCTTCTCTCTAGTTTTTAAGAGAAGATAATCCTTTTTCCACCATAGGCAACAAATCTCTCCAAATGAACACTAGCAGGTTCTACAAAAAGTGTGTTTCAACACTGCTCTATCAAAAGAAAGGATCAAGACTTTGAGTTAAATGCACACATCACAAAGCAGTTTCTGAGAAAGCTTCTGTCTAGTTTTTATTTGAAGGTACATCCTTTTCCTTCTTAGACCTCAAATCGCTCCAAATATCCACTTGCAGATACTACAAAAAGAGTGTTTCAAAACCGCTCTCTCAAAAGGAAGGTTCAACTCTGTGAGTTGAATACACATATTACAAAGCAGTTCCTGAGAATGCTTCTGTCTATTTTTTAGGTGAAGATATCACTTTTTCCAACATAGGCCGCAAAGCATTTGAAATGAACCCTTGCAGATTCTACAAAATGTTTGTTTCAACACTGCTGTATCAAAAGAAAGGTTCAACAATGTGAATTGAACAAACCCATTACAAGGGAGTTTCTGAGAATGCTTCTGTCTAGTTTTTATGTGAAGATATTTCTTTTTCCAACATAGGCAACAAAGCACTCCAAAGAACACTTGTAGATTATACAAAAAGTGTGTTTCAACACTGCTCTACCTAAAGGAAGTTTCAAGTCTGTGACTTAAATGCACACATCACAAAGCAGTTTCTGACAATGCTTCTGTCTAGTTTGTATGTGAAGATATTTCTTTTTCCACCATACTCCACAAATCGCTCCAAATATCCACTTGCAAATACTACAAAAAGACTGTTTCAAAACTTCTCTCTCAAAAGGAAGGTTCAACTCTGTGAGTTGAATGCACACATCACAAGGCAGTTTCTGAAAATGCTTCCGTCTAGTTTTTTATTTGAAGGTATTTCCTTTTCCTTCTTCGGCCTCAAATCACTGCAAATATCCACTTGCAGATACTACAAAAAGACTGTTTCAAAACCGCTCTCTCAAAAGGAAGGTTCAACACTGTGAGTTGAATGCACATGTTACAAAGCAGTTTCTGGAATGCTTCTGTCTATTTTTCAGGTGAAGATATCACTTTTTCCAGCATACGCACAAAAGAACTCGAAATGGACACTTGCAGATTCTACAAAAAGTATGTTTCAACACTGCTCTATCAAAAGAAAGGTTCAACGATGTGAATTGAACACACACTTCACAGAGGAGTTTCAGAGAATGCTTCTGTCTAGTTTTTAAGTGAAGATATTCCTTTTTCCCACACAGGCAACAAAGCGCTCCAAAGGAATACTTGTGGATTCTACAAAAAGTGTGTTTCAACACTGCTCTATCAAAAGAAAGTTTCAAGTCTGTGAGTTGAACGCACACATCACAAAGAACCTTCTGAGAATGCTTGGGTCTACTTTTTATGTGAAGATACCCGTTTCCAACGAATAACTCAAAGAGTTCCAAATATACACAATCAGATACTACGAAAGGAGTGTTTCATTCCTGCTCTGTCAAAAGACAGTTTCAACTCTGTTAGTTGAATGCACACATCTCAATGAAGTTCCTGAGAAGGCTTCTGCCTAGTTTTTTGTGAAGATGATAGTCCCTTTTCCACCATGGGCTTCAAAGCGCTCCAAATGAAGACTTGCAGGTCCTACCAAAAGACTGATTCAAAACGGCTCTATCAAAAGAACGGTTCCACTCTGTTAGGTGAATGCACACATCACAAGAAGTTTCTGAGAATGCTTCTGTTTAGTTTGTATGTGAAGATATTTCCTTTTCCATCATACTACACGAATCGCTCCAAATATCCACCTGCAGACGTTACAAAAAGACTGTTTCAAAACTGCTCTCTCAAAAGGAAGGTTCAACTCTGTGAGTTGAGTGCACACATCACAATGGAGTTTCTGAGAATACTTCTGTCTACTTTGTATGTGAAGGTATTTCCTTTTCTACCTGAGGCCCCAAGTCACTACAAATATCCACTTGCAGATACTACAAAAAGACTGTTTCAAAACCTCCCTCTCAAAAGGAAAGTTCAAATCTGTCGGTTGAATGCACACATCACAAAGCAGTTTCTGAGAATGCTTCTGTCTAGTTTGTATGTGAAGATATTTCCTTTTCCATCATAGGCCTCAAATCGCTCCAAATATCCACTTGCAGATACTACAAAAGACCGTTTCAACACTGCTCTCTCAAAAGGAAGGTTCAACTCTGTGGGTTGAATGCACACATCACAAAGCAGTTTCTGAGAATGCTTCTGTCTAGTTTGTATGTGAAGATATTTCCTTTTCCATCATAGGCCTCAAATCGCTCCAAATATCCACTTGCAGATACTACAAAAAGACTGTTTCAACACTGCTCTCTCAAATGGAAGGTTCAACACTGTGAGTTGAATGCACACATCACAACGGAGTTTCTGAGAATGCGTCTGTCTAGTTTGTATGTGACGATATGCCTTTTACAACGTATTCCTCAAGGAGCTCCCAATATCCACAAGCAGATTCTACAAAAGCAGTGTTTCAAACCTGCTCTGTCAAAGGAAAGTTTCAACTCTGTGAATTGAACACACACATCACAAAGCAGTTTCTAACAATGCTTCTGTCTAGTTTTTAAGAGAAGATAATCCTTTTTCCACCATAGGCAACAAATCTCTCCAAATGAACACTACCAGGTTCTACAAAAAGTGTGTTTCAACACTGCTCTAACAAAAGTAAGGATCAAGACTTTGAGTTAAATGCACACATCATAAAGCAGTTTCTGAGAAAGCTTCTGTCTAGTTTTTATTTGAAGGTACTTCCTTTTCTTTCTTAGACCTCAAATCGCTCCAAATATCCACTTGCAGATACTACAAAAAGACTGTTTCAAAACCGCTCTCTCAAAAGGAAGGTTCAACTCTTTGAGTTGAATGCACATATTACAAAGCAGTTCCTGAGAATGCCTCTGTCTATTTTTTAGGTGAAGATATCACTTTTTCCAACATAGGCCACAAAGCATTTGAAATGAACACTTGCAGATTCTACAAAATGTTTGTTTCAACACTGCTGTATCAAAAGAAAGGTTCAACAATGTGAATTGAACACACCCATCACAAAGGAGTTTCTGAGAATGCTTCTGTCTAGTTTTTATGTGAAGATATTTCTTTTTCCAACATAGGCAACAAAGCACTCCAAAGAACACTTGTAGATTATACAAATAGTGTGTTTCAACACTGCTCTACCTAAAGGAAGTTTCAAGTCTGTGACTTAAATGCACACATCACAAAGCAGTTTCTGAGAATACTTCTGTCTAGTTTGTATGAGAAGATATTTCATTTTCCACCATATTCCACAAATCGCTCCAAATATCCACTTGCAAATACTACAAAAAGACTGTTTCAAAACTTCTCTCTCAAAAGGAAGGTTCAACTCTGTGAGTTGAATGCACACATCACAAGGCAGTTTCTGAAAATGCTTCCGTCTAGTTTTTTATTTGAAGGTGTTTCCTTTTCCTTCTTCGGCCTCAAATCACTGCAAATATCCACTTGCAGATACTACAAAAAGACTGTTTGAAAACCGCTCTCTGAAAAGGAAGGTTCAACACTGTGAGTTGAATGCACATGTTACAAAGCAGTTTCTGGAATGCTTCTGTCTATTTTTCAGGTGAAGATATCACTTTTTCCAGCATACGCACAAAAGAACTCGAAATGGACACTTGCAGATTCTACAAAAAGTATGTTTCAACACTGCTCTATCAAAAGAAAGGTTCAACGATGTGAATTGAACACACACTTCACAGAGGAGTTTCAGAGAATGCTTCTGTCTAGTTTTTAAGTGAAGATATTCCTTTTTCCCACATAGGCAACAAAACGCTCCAAACGAATACTTGTGGATTCTACAAAAAGTGTGTTTCAACACTGCTCTATCAAAAGAAAGTTTCAAGTCTGTGAGTTGAACGCACACATCACAAAGAACCTTCTGAGAATGCTTGGGTCTACTTTTTATGTGAAGATACCCGTTTCCAACGAATAACTCAAAGAGTTCCAAATACACACAATCAGATACTACAAAAGGAGTGTTTCATTCCTGCTCTGTCAAAAGACAGTTTCAACTCTGTTAGTTGAATGCACACATCTCAATGAAGTTCCTGAGAAGGCTTCTGCCTAGTTTTTTGTGAAGATAGTCCCTTTTCCACCATGGGCTTCAAAGCGCTCCAAATGAAAACTTGCAGGTCCTACCAAAAGACTGATTCAAAACTGCTCTATCAAAAGAACGGTTCCACTCTGTTAGGTGAACGCACACATCACAAGAACTTTCTGAGAATGCTTCTGTTTAGTTTGTATGTGAAGATATTTCCTTTTCCATCATACTACTCGAATTGCTCCAAATATCCACCTGCAGACGTTACAAAAAGACTGTTTCAAAACTGCTCTCTCAAAAGGAAGGTTCAACTCTGTGAGTTGAGTGCACACATCACAATGGAGTTTCTGAGAATACTTCTGTCTACTTTGTATGTGAAGGTATTTCCTTTTCCACCTGAGGCCCCAAGTCACTACAAATATCCACTTGCAGATACTGCAAAAAGACTGTTTCAAACCCTCCCTCTCAAAAGGAAAGTTCAAATCTGTCGGTTGAATGCACACATCACAAAGCAGTTTCTGAGAATGCTTCTGTCTAGTTTGTATGTGAAGATATTTCCTTTTCCATCATAGGCCTCAAATCGCTCCAAATATCCACTTGCAGATACTACAAAAGACCGTTTCAACACTGCTCTCTCAAAAGGAAGGTTCAACTCTGTGGGTTGAATGCGCACATCACAAAGCAGTTTCTGAGAATGCTTCTGTCTGGTTTGTATGTGAAGATATTTCCTTTTCCATCATAGGCCTCAAATCGCTCCAAATATCCACTTGCAGATACTACAAAAAGACTGTTTCAACACTGCTCTCTCAAATGGAAGGTTCAACTCTGTGAGTTGAATGCACACATCACAAAGCAGTTTCTGAGAATGCTTCTGTCTAGTTTGTATGTGAAGATATGCCTTTTACAACGTATTCCTCAAAGAGCTCCCAATATCCACAAGCAGATTCTACAAAAGCAGTGTTTCAAAACTGCTCTATCAAAGGAAAGTTTCAACTCTGTGAATTGAACACACACATCACAAAGCAGTTTCTAAGAATGCTTCTGTCTAGTTTTTAAGAGAAGATAATCCTTTTTCCACCATAGGCAACAAATCTCTCCAAATGAACACTACCAGGTTCTACAAAAAGTGTGTTTCAACACTGCTCTAACAAAAGTAAGGATCAAGACTTTGAGTTAAATGCACACATCACAAAGCAGTTTGCTGAGAAAGCTTATCTGTCTAGTTTTTATTTGAAGGTACTTCCTTTTCCTTCTTAGACCTCAAATCGCTCCAAATATCCACTTGCACATACTACAAAAAGACTGTTTCAAAACCGCTCTCTCAAAAGGAAGGTTCAACTCTGTGAGTTGAATGCACATATTACAAAGCAGTTCCTGAGAATGCTTCTGTCTATTTTTTAGGTGAAGATATCACTTTTTCCAACATAGGCCACAAAGCATTTGAAATGAACACTTGCAGATTCTACAAAATGTTTGTTTCAACACTGCTGTATCAAAAGAAAGGTTCAACAATGTGAATTGAACACACCCATCACAAAGGAGTTTTTGAGAATGCTTCTGTCTAGTTTTTATGTGAAGATATTTCTTTTTCCAACATAGGCAACAAAGCACTCCAAAGAACACTTGTAGATTATACAAAAAGTGTGTTTCAACACTGCTCTACCTAAAGGAAGTTTCAAGTCTGTGACTTAAATGCACACATCACAAAGCAGTTTCTGAGAATGCTTCTGTCTAGTTTGTATGTGAAGATATTTCATTTTCCACCATACTCCACAAATCGCTCCAAATATCCACTTGCAAATACTACAAAAAGACTGTTTCAAAACTTCTCTCTCAAAAGGAAGGTTCAACTCTGTGAGTTGAATGCACACATCACAAGGCAGTTTCTGAAAATGCTTCCGTCTGGTTTTTTATTTGAAGGTATTTCCTTTTCTTTCTTCGGCCTCAAATCACTGCAAATATCCACTTGCAGATACTACAAAAAGACTGTTTCAAAACCGCTCCCTCAAAAGGAAGGTTCAACACTGTGAGTTGAATGCACATGTTACAAAGCAGTTTCTGGAATGCTTCTGTCTATTTTTCAGGTGAAGATATCACTTTTTCCAACATACGCACAAAAGAACTCGAAATGGACACTTGCAGATTCTACAAAAAGTATGTTTCAACACTGCTCCATCAAAATAAAGGTTCAACGATGTGAATTGAACACACACTTCACAGAGGAGTTTCAGAGAATGCTTCTGTCTAGTTTTTAAGTGAAGATATTCCTTTTTCCCACATAGGCAACAAAGCGCTCCAAATGAATACTTGTGGATTCTACAAAAAGTGTGTTTCAACACTGCTCTATCAAAAGAAAGTTTCAAGTCTGTGAGTTGAACGCACACATCACAAAGAACCTTCTGAGAATGCTTGGGTCTACTTTTTATGTGAAGATACCCGTTTCCAACGAATAACTCAAAGAGTTCCAAATATACACAATCAGATACTACAAAAGGAGTGTTTCATTCCTCCTCTGTCAAAAGACAGTTTCAACTCTGTTAGTTGAATGCACACATCTCAATGAAGTTCCTGAGAAGGCTTCTGCCTAGTTTTTTGTGAAGATATTCCCTTTTCCACCATAGGCTTCAAAGCGCTCCAAATGAAAACTTGCAGGTCCTACCAAAAGACTGATTCAAAACTGCTCTATCAAAAGAACGGTTCCACTCTGTTAGGTGAACGCACACATCACAAGAAGTTTCTGAGAATGCTTCTGTTTAGTTTGTATGTGAAGATATTTCCTTTTCCATCATACTACACGAATCGCTCCAAATATCCACCTGCAGACGTTACAAAAAGACTGTTTCAAAACTGCTCTCTCAAAAGGAAGGTTCAACTCTGTGAGTTGAGTGCACACATCACAATGGAGTTTCGGAGAATACTTCTGTCTACTTTGTATGTGAAGGTATTTCCTTTTCCAGCTGAGGCCCCAAGTCACTACAAATATCCACTTGCAGATACTACAAAAAGACTGTTTCAAAACGTCCCTCTCCAAAGGAAAGTTCAAATCTGTTGGTTGAATGCCACATCACAAAGCAGTTTCTGAGAATGCTTCTGTCTAGTTTGTATGTGAAGATATTTCCTTTTCCATCATAGCCCTCAAATCGCTCCAAATATCCACTTGGAGATACTACAAAAGACCGTTTCAACACTGCTCTCTCAAAAGGAAGGTTCAACTCTGTGGGTTGAATGCACACATCACAAAGCAGGTTCTGAGAATGCTTCTGTCTAGTTTGTATGTGAAGATATTTCCTTTTCCATCATAGGCCTCAAATCGCTCCAAATATCCAATTGAAGATACTACAAAAAGACCGTTTCAACACTGCTCTCTCAAATGGAAGGTTCAACTCTGTGAGTTGAATGCACACATCACAAAGCAGTTTCTGAGAATGCTTCTGTCTAGTTTGTATGTGAAGATATGCCTTTTACAACGTATTCCTCAAGGAGCTCCCAATATCCACAAGCAGATTCTACAAAAGCAGTGTTTCAAACCTGCTCTATCAAAGGAAAGTTTCAACTATGTGAATTGAACACACACATCACAAAGCAGTTTCTAAGAATGCTTCTGTCTAGTTTTTAAGAGAAGATAATCCTTTTTCCACCATAGGCAACAAATCTCTCCAAATGAACACTACCAGGTTCTACAAAAAGTGTGTTTCAACACTGCTCTAACAAAAGTAAGGATCAAGACTTTGAGTTAAATGCACACATCACAAAGCAGTTTCTGAGAAAGCTTCTGTCTAGTGTTTATTTGAAGGTACTTCCTTTTCCTTCTTAGACCTCAAATCGCTCCAAATATCCACTTGCAGATACTACAAAAAGACTGTTTCAAAACCGCTCTCTCAAAAGGAAGGTTCAACTCTGTGAGTTGAATGCACATATTACAAAGCAGTTCCTGAGAATGCCTCTGTCTATTTTTTAGGTGAAGATATCACTTTTTCCAACATAGGCCACAAAGCATTTGAAATGAACACTTGCAGATTCTACAAAATGTTTGTTTCAACACTGCTGTATCAAAAGAAAGGTTCAACAATGTGAATTGAACACACCCATTACAAAGGAGTTTCTGAGAATGCCTCTGTCTAGTTTTTATGTGAAGATATTTCTTTTTCCAACATAGGCAACAAAGCACTCCAAAGAACACTTGTAGATTATACAAAAAGTGTGTTTCAACACTGCTCTACCTAAAGGAAGTTTCAAGTCTGTGACTTAAATGCACACATCACAAAGCAGTTTCTGAGAATGCTTCTGTCTAGTTTGTATGTGAAGATATTTCATTTTCCACCATACTCCACAAATCGCTCCAAATATCCACTTGCAAATACTACAAAAAGACTGTTTCAAAACTTCTCTCTCAAAAGGAAGGTTCAACTCTGTGAGTTGAATGCACACATCACAAGGCAGTTTCTGAAAATGCTTCCGTCTAGTTTTTTATTTGAAGGTATTTCCTTTTCCTTCTTCGGCCTCAAATCACTGCAAATATCCACTTGCGGATACTACAAAAAGACCGTTTCAAAACCGCTCTCTCAAAAGGAAGGTTCAACACTGTGAGTTGAATGCACATGTTACAAAGCAGTTTCTGGAATGCTTCTGTCTATTTTTCAGGTGAAGATATCACTTTTTCCAGCATACGCACAAAAGAACTCGAAATGGACACTTGCAGATTCTACAAAAAGTATGTTTCAACACTGCTCTATCAAAAGAAAGGTTCAACGATGTGAATTGAACACACACTTCACAGAGGAGTTTCAGAGAATGCTTCTGTCTAGTTTTTAAGTGAAGATATTCCTTTTTCCCACATAGGCAACAAAGCGCTCCAAATGAATACTTGTGGATTCTACAAAAACTGTGTTTCAACACTGCTCTATCAAAAGAAAGTTTCAAGTCTGTGAGTTGAACGCACACATCACAAAGTACCTTCTGAGAATGCTTGGGTCTACTTTTTATGTGAAGATACCCGTTTCCAACGAATAACTCAAAGAGTTCCAAATACACACAATCAGATACTACAAAAGGAGTGTTTCATTCCTCCTCTGTCAAAAGACAGTTTCAACTCTGTTAGTTGAATGCACACATCTCAGTGAAGTTCCTGAGAAGGCTTCTGCCTAGTTTTCTGTGAAGATAGTCCCTTTTCCACCATGGGCTTCAAAGCGCTCCAAATGAAAACTTGCAGGTCTTACCAAAAGACTGATTCAAAACTGCTCTATCAAAAGAACGGTTCCACTCTGTTAGGGGAATGCACACGTCACAAGAAGTTTCGGAGAATGCTTCTGTTTAGTTTGTATGTGAAGATATTTCCTTTTCCATCATATTACACGAATCGCTCCAAATATCCACCTGCAGACGTTACAAAAAGACTGTTTCAAAACTCTCTCTCAAAAGGAAGGTTCAACTCTGTGAGTTGAGTGCACACATCACAATGGAGTTTCTGAGAATACTTCTGTCTACTTTGTATGTGAAGGTATTTCCTTTTCCACCTGAGGCCCCACGACACTACAAATATCCACTTGCAGATACTACAAAAAGACTGTTTCAAAACCTCCCTCTCCAAAGGAAAGTTCAAATCTGTCGGTTGAATGCACACATCACAAAGCAGTTTCTGAGAATGCTTCTGTCTAGTTAGTATGTGAAGATATGCCTTTTACAACGTATTCCTCAAGGAGCTCCCAATATCCACAAGCAGATTCTACAAAAGCAGTATTTCAAACCTGCTCTGTCAAAGGAAATTTTCAACTCTGTGAATTGAACACACACATCACAAAGCAGTTTCTAAGAATGCTTCTGTCTAGTTTTTAAGAGAAGATAATCCTTTTTCCACCATAGGCAACAAATCTCTCCAAATGAACACTACCAGGTTCTACAAAAAGTGTGTCTCAACACTGCTCTAACAAAAGTAAAGATCAAGACTTTGAGTTAAATGCACACATCATAAAGCAGTTTCTGAGAAAGCTTCTCTCTAGTTTGTATGTGAAGATATGCCTTTTACAACGTATTCCTCAAGGAGCTCCCAATATCCACAAGCAGATTCTACAAAAGCAGTGCTTCAAAACTGCTCTAGCAAAGGAAAGTTTCAACTCTGTGAATTGAACACACACATCACAAAGCAGTTTCTAAGAATGTTTCTGTCTAGTTTTTAAGAGAAGATAATCCTTTTTCCACCATAGGCAACAAATCTCTCCAAATGAACACTAGCAGGTTCTACAAAAAGTGTGTTTCAACACTGCTCTAACAAAAGTAAGGATCAAGACTTTGAGTTAAATGCACACATCACAAAGCAGTTTCTGAGAAAGCTTCTGTCTAGTTTTTATTTGAAGGTACTTCCTTTTCCTTCTTAGACCTCAAATCGCTCCAAATATCCACTTGCAGATACTACAAAAAGACTGTTTCAAAACCGCTCTCTCAAAAGGAAGGTTCAACTCTGTGAGTTGAATGCACATATTACAAAGCAGTTCCTGAGAATGCTTCTGTCTATTTTTTAGGAGAACATATCACTTTTTCCAACATAGGCCACAAAGCATTTGAAATGAACACTTGCAGATTCTACAAAATGTTTGTTTCAACACTGCTGTATCAAAAGAAAGGTTCAACAATGTGAATTGAACAAACCCATCACAAAGGAGTTTCTGAGAATGCTTCTGTCTAGTTTTTATGTGAAGATATTTCTTTTTCCAACATAGGCAACAAAGCACTCCAAAGAACACTTGTAGATTATACAAAAAGTGTGTTTCAACACTGCTCTACCTAAAGGAAGTTTCAAGTCTGTGACTTAAATGCACACATCACAAAGCAGTTTCTGACAATGCCTCTGTCTAGTTTGTATGTGAAGATATTTCATTTTCCACCATACTCCACAAATCGCTCCAAATATCCACTTGCAAATACTACAAAAAGACTGTTTCAAAACTTCTCTCTCAAAAGGAAAGTTCAACTCTGTGAGTTGAATGCACACATCACAAGGCAGTTTCCGAAAATGCTTCCGTCTAGTTTTTTATTTGAAGGTATTTCCTTTTCCTTCTTCGGCCTCAAATCACTGCAAATATCCACTTGCAGATACTACAAAAAGACTGTTTCAAAACCGCTCTCTCAAAAGGAAGGTTCAACACTGTGAGTTGAATGCACATGTTACAAAGCAGTTTCTGGAATGCTTCTGTCTATTTTTCAGGTGAAGATATCACTTTTTCCAACATACGCACAAAAGAACTCGAAATGGACACTTGCAGATTCTACAAAAAGTATGTTTCAACACTGCTCTATCAAAAGAAAGGTTCAACGATGTGAATTGAACACACACTTCACAGAGGAGTTTCAGAGAATGCTTCTGTCTAGTTTTTAAGTGAAGATATTCCTTTTTCCCACATAGGCAACAAAGCGCTCCAAAGGAATACTTGTGGATTCTACAAAAAGTGTGTTTCAACACTGCTCTATCAAAAGAAAGTTTCAAGTCTGTGAGTTGAACGCCCACATCACAAAGAACCTTCTGAGAATGCTTGGGTCTACTTTTTATGTGAAGATACCCGTTTCCAACGAATAACTCAAAGAGTTCCAAATATACACAATCAGATACTACAAAAGGAGTGTTTCATTCCTCCTCTGTCAAAAGACAGTTTCAACTCTGTTAGTTGAATGCACACATCTCAATGAAGTTCCTGAGAAGGCTTCTGCCTAGTTTTTTGTGAAGATAGTCCCTTTTCCACCATGGGCTTCAAAGCGCTCCAAATGAAAACTTGCAGGTCCTACCAAAAGACTGATTCAAAACGGCTCTATCAAAAGAACGGTTCCACTCTGTTAGGTGAACGCACACATCACAAGAAGTTTCTGAGAATGCTTCTGTTTAGTTTGTATGTGAAGATATTTCCTTTTCCATCATAGTACTCGAATCGCTCCAAATATCCACTTGCAGACATTACAAAAAGACTGTTTCAAAACTGCTCTCTCAAAAGGAAGGTTCAACTCTGTGAGTTGAGTGCACACTTCACAATGGAGTTTCTGAGAATACTTCTGTCTACTTTGTATGTAAAGGTATTTCCTTTTCCATCTGAGGCCCCAAGTCACTACAAATATCCACTTGCAGATACTACAAAAAGACTGTTTCAAAACCTCCCTCTCAAAAGGAAAGTTCAAATCTGTGAGTTGAATGCACACATCACAAAGCAGTTCCTGAGACTGCTTCTGTCTAGTTTGTATGTGAAGATATTTCCTTTTCCATCATAGGCCACAAATCACTCCAAATATCCACTTGCAGATACTACAAAAGACCGTTTCAACACTGCTCTCTCAAAAGGAAGGTTCAACTCTGTGAGTTGAATGCACACATCACAACGGAGTTTCTGAGAATGCTTCTGTCTAGTTTGTATGTGAAGATATTTCCTTTTCCATCATAGGCCTCAAATCGCTCCAAATATCCACTTGAAGATACTATAAAAAGACCGTTTCAACACTGCTCTCTCAAATGGAAGGTTCAACTGTGTGAGTTGAATGCACACATCACAAAGCAGTTTCTGAGAATGCTTCTGTCTAGTTTGTATGTGAAGATATGCCTTTTACAACGTATTCCTCAAGGAGCTCCAAATATCCACAAGCAGATTCTACAGAAGCAGTGTTTCAAACCTGCTCTGTCAAAGGAAAGTTTCAACTCTGTGAATTGAACACACACATCACAAAGCAGTTTCTAAGAATGCTTCTCTCTAGTTTTTAAGAGAAGATAATCCTTTTTCCACCATAGGCAAGAAATCTCTCCAAATGAACACTAGCAGGTTCTACAAAAAGTGTGTTTCAACACTGCTCTATCAAAAGAAAGGATCAAGATTTTGAGTTAAATGCACACATCACAAAGCAGTTTCTGAGAAAGCTTCTGTCTAGTTTTTATTTGAAGGTACTTCCTTTTCCTTCTTAGACCTCAAATCGCTCCAAATATCCACTTGCAGATACTACAAAAAGACTGTTTCAAAACCGCTCTCTCAAAAGGAAGGTTCAACTCTGTGAGTTGAATGCACATATTACAAAGCAGTTCCTGAGAATGCTTCTGTCTATTTTTTAGGTGAAGATATCACTTTTTCCAACATAGGCCACAAAGCATTTGAAATGAACACTTGCAGATTCTACAAAATGTTTGTTTCAACACTGCTGTATCAAAAGAAAGGTTCAACAATGTGAATTGAACAAACCCATCACAAAGGAGTTTCTGAGAATGCTTCTGTCTAGTTTTTATGTGAAGATATTTCTTTTTCCAACATAGGCAACAAAGCACTCCAAAGAACACTTGTAGATTATACAAAAAGTGTGTTTCAACACTGCTCTACCTAAAGGAAGTTTCAAGTCTGTGACTTAAATGCACACATCACAAAGCAGTTTCTGAGAATGCTTCTGTCTAGTTTGTATGTGAAGATATTTCATTTTCCACCATACTCCACAAATCGCTCCAAATATCCACTTGCAAATACTACAAAAAGACTGTTTCAAAACTTCTCTCTCAAAAGGAAGGTTCAACTCTGTGAGTTGAATGCACACATCACAAGGCAGTTTCTGAAAATGCTTCCGTCTAGTTTTTTATTTGAAGGTATTTCCTTTTCCTTCTTCGGCCTCAAATCACTGCAAATATCCACTTGCAGATACTACAAAAAGACTGTTTCAAAACCGCTCTCTCAAAAGGAAGGTTCAACACTGTGAGTTGAATGCATATGTTACAAAGCAGTTTCTGGAATGCTTCTGTCTATTTTTCAGCTGAAGATATCACTTTTTCCAACATACGCACAAAAGAACTCGAAATGGACACTTGCAGATTCTACAAAAAGTATGTTTCAACACTGCTCTATAAAAAGAAAGGTTCAACGATGTGAATTGAACACACACTTCACAGAGGAGTTTCAGAGAATGCTTCTGTCTAGTTTTTAAGTGAAGATATTCCTTTTTCCCACATAGGCAACAAAGCGCTCCAAAGGAATACTTGTGGATTCTACAAAAAGTGTGTTTCAACACTGCTCTATCAAAAGAAAGTTTCAAGTCTGTGAGTTGAACGCACACATCACAAAGAACCTTCTGAGAATGCTTGGGTCTACTTTTTATGTGAAGATACCCGTTTCCAACGAATAACTCAAAGAGTTCCAAATACACACAATCAGATACTACAAAAGGAGTGTTTCATTCCTCCTCTGTCAAAAGACAGTTTCAACTCTGTTAGTTGAATGCACACATCTCAATGAAGTTCCTGAGAAGGCTTCTGCCTAGTTTTTTGTGAAGATATTCCCTTTTCCACCATAGGCTTCAAAGCGCTCCAAATGAAAACTTGCAGGACCTACCAAAAGACTGATTCAAAACTGCTCTATCAAAAGAACGGTTCCACTCTGTTAGGTGAACGCACACATCAGAAGACGTTTCTGGGAATGCTTCTGTTTAGTTTGTATGTGAAGATATTTCCTTTTCCATCATATTACACGAATCGCTCCAAATATCCACCTGCAGACGTTACAAAAAGACTGTTTCAAAACTGCTCTCTCAAAAGGAAGGTTCAACTCTGTGAGTTGAGTGCACACATCACAATGGAGTTTCTGAGAATACTTCTGTCTACTTTGTATGTGAAGGTATTTCCTTTTCCACCTGAGGCCCCAAGTCACTACAAATATCCACTTGCAGATACTACAAAAAGACTGTTTCAAAACCTCCCTCTCCAAAGGAAAGTTCAAATCTGTCGGTTGAATGCACACATCACAAAGCAGTTTCTGAGAATGCTTCTGTCTAGTTTGTATGTGAAGATATTTCCTTTTCCATCATAGGCCTCAAATCGCTCCAAATATCCACTTGCAGATACTACAAAAGACCGTTTCAACACTGCTCTCTCAAAAGGAAGGTTCAACTCTGTGGGTTGAATGCACACATCTGGAAGTAGTTTCTGAGAATGCTTCTGTCTAGTTTGTATGTGAAGATATTTCCTTTTCCATCATAGGCCTCAAATCGCTCCAAATATCCACTTGAAGATACTACAAAAAGACTGTTTCAACACTGCTCTCTCAAATGGAAGGTTCAACTCTGTGAGTTGAATGCACACATCACAAAGCAGTTTCTGAGAATGCTTCTGTCTAGTTTGAATGTGAAGATATGCCTTTTACAACGTATTCCTCAAGGAGCTCCCAATATCCACAAGCAGATTCTACAGAAGCAGTGTTTCAAACCTGCTCTGTCAAAGGAAAGTTTCAACTCTGTGAATTGAACACACACATCACAAAGCAGTTTCTAAGAATGCTTCTGTCTAGTTTTTAAGAGAAGATAATCCTTTTTCCACCATAGGCAACAAATCTCTCCAAATGAACACTACCAGGTTCTACAAAAAGTGTGTTTCAACACTGCTCTAACAAAAGAAAGGATCAAGACTTTGAGTTAAATGCACACATCACAAAGCAGTTTCTGAGAAAGCTTCTGTCTAGTTTTTATTTGAAGGTACTTCCTTTTCCTTCTTAGACCTCAAATCGCTCCAAATATCCACTTGCAGATACTACAAAAAGACTGTTTCAAAACCGCTCTCTCAAAAGGAAGGTTCAACTCTGTGAGTTGAATGCACATATTACAAAGCAGTTCCTGAGAATGCTTCTGTCTATTTTTTAGGTGAAGATATCACTTTTTCCAACATAGGCCGCAAAGCATTTGAAATGAACCCTTGCAGATTCTACAAAATGTTTGTTTCAACACTGCTGTATCAAAAGAAAGGTTCAACAATGTGATTTGAACAAACCTATCACAAAGGAGTTTCTGAGAATGCTTCTGTCTAGTTTTTATGTGAAGATATTTCTTTTTCCAACATAGGCAACAAAGCACTCCAAAGAACACTTGTAGATTATACAAAAAGTGTGTTTCAACACTGCTCTACCTAAAGGAAGTTTCAAGTCTGTGACTTAAATGCACACATCACAAAGCAGTTTCTGACAATGCTTCTGTCTAGTTTGTATGTGAAGATATTTCATTTTCCACCATACTCCACAAATCGCTCCAAATATCCACTTGCAAATACTACAAAAAGACTGTTTCAAAACTTCTCTCTCAAAAGGAAGGTTCAACTCTGTGAGTTGAATGCACACATCACAAGGCAGTTTCTGAAAATGCTTCCGTCTGGTTTTTTATTTGAAGGTATTTCCTTTTCTTTCTTCGGCCTCAAATCACTGCAAATATCCACTTGCAGATTCTACAAAAAGACTGTTTCAAAACCGCTCCCTCAAAAGGAAGGTTCAACACTGTGAGTTGAATGCACATGTTACAAAGCAGTTTCCGGAATGCTTCTGTCTATTTTTCAGGTGAAGATATCACTTTTTCCAGCATACGCACAAAAGAACTCGAAATTTACACTTGCAGATTCTACAAAAATTATGTTTCAACACTGCTCTATCAAAAGAAAGGTTCAACGATGTGAATTGAACACACACTTCACAGAGGAGTTTCAGAGAATGCTTCTGTCTAGTTTTTAAGTGAAGATATTCCTTTTTCCCACATAGGCAACAAAGCGCTCCAAAGGAATACTTGTGGATTCTACAAAAAGTGTGTTTCAACACTGCTCTATCAAAAGAAAGTTTCAAGTCTGTGAGTTGAACGCACACATCACAAAGAACCTTCTGAGAATGCTTGGGTCTACTTTTTATGTGAAGATACCCGTTTCCAACGAATAACTCAAAGAGTTCCAAATATACACAATCAGATACTACAAAAGGAGTGTTTCACTCCTCCTCTGTCAAAAGACAGTTTCAACTCTGTTAGTTGAATGCACACATCCCAATGAAGTTCCTGAGAAGGCTTCTGCCTAGTTTTTTGTGAAGATGATAGTCCCTTTTCCACCATGGGCTTCAAAGCGCTCCAAATGAAAACTTGCAGGTCCTACCAAAAGACTGATTCAAAACTGCTCTATCAAAAGAACGGTTCCACTCTGTTAGGTGAATGCACACATCACAAGAAGTTTCTGAGAATGCTTCTGTTTAGTTTGTATGTGAAGATATTTCCTTTTACATCATAGTACTCGAATCGCTCCAAATATCCACCTGCAGACGTTACAAAAAGACTGTTTCAAAACTGCTCTCTCAAAAGGAAGGTTCAACTCTGTGAGTTGAGTGCACACATCACAATGGAGTTTCTGAGAATACTTCTGTCTAGTTTTTATGTGAAGATATTATATTTTCCACCTTAGGCCTCAAATCGCTCCAAAAATCCAATTGCAGATACTACAAAAAGACTGTTTCAAAACTGCTCTCTCAAAGGGAATTTTCAACTCTATGAGTTGAATGCACACATCACAAAGCAGTTTCTGAGGATGCTTCTGTCTAGTTTGTATGTGAAGATATTTCCTTTTTCATCATAGGCCTCAAATCGCACCAAATATCCACTTGCAGATACTACAAAAAGACTGTTTCAACACTGCTCTCTCAAAAGGAAGGTTCAACTCTGTGGGTTGAATGCACACATCACAAAGCAGTTTCTGAGAATGCTTCTGTCTAGTTTGTATGTGAAGATATTTCCTTTTCCATCATAGACCTCAAATCGCTCCAAATATCCAATTGAAGATACTACAAAAAGACCGTTTCAACACTGCTCTCTCAAATGGAAGGTTCAACTCTGTGAGTTGAATGCACACATCACAAAGCAGTTTCTGAGAATGCTTCTGTCTAGTTTGTATGTGAAGATATGGCTTTTACAACGTATTCCTCAAGGAGCTCCCAATATCCACAAGCAGATTCTACAGAAGCAGTGTTTCAAACCTGCTCTGTCAAAGGAAAGTTTCAACTCTGTGAATTGAACACACACATCACAAAGCAGTTTCTAAGAATGCTTCTCTCTAGTTTTTAAGAGAAGATAATCCTTTTTCCACCATAGGCAAGAAATCTCTCCAAATGAACACTAGCATGTTCTACAAAAAGTGTGTTTCAACACTGCTCTATCAAAAGAAAGGATCAAGACTTTGAGTTAAATGCACACATCACAAAGCAGTTTCTGAGAAAGCTTCTGTCTAGTTTTTATTTGAAGGTACTTCCTTTTCCTTCTTAGACCTCAAATCGCTCCAAATATCCACTTGCAGATACTACAAAAAGACTGTTTCAAAACCGCTCTCTCAAAAGGAAGGTTCAACTCTGTGAGCTTGAATGCACATATTACAAAGCAGTTCCTGAGAATGCTTCTGTCTATTTTTTAGGTGAAGATATCACTTTTTCCAACATAGGCCACAAAGCATTTGAAATGAGCACTTGCAGATTCTACAAAATGTTTGTTTCAACACTGCTGTATCAAAAGAAAGGTTCAACAATGTGAATTGAACAAACCCATCACAAAGGAGTTTCTGAGAATGCTTCTGTCTAGTTTTTATGTGAAGATATTTCTTTTTCCAACATAGGCAACAAAGCACTCCAAAGAACACTTGTAGATTATACAAAAAGTGTGTTTCAACACTGCTCTACCTAAAGGAAGTTTCAAGTCTGTGACTTAAATGCACACATCACAAAGCAGTTTCTGAGAATGCTTCTGTCTACTTTGTATGTGAAGATATTTCATTTTCCACCATACTCCACAAATCGCTCCAAATATCCACTTGCAAATACTGCAAAAAGACTGTTTCAAAATTTCTCTCTCAAAAGGAAGGTTCAACTCTGTGAGTTGAATGCACACATCACAAGGCAGTTTCTGAAAATGCTTCCGTCTAGTTTTTTATTTGAGGTATTTCCTTTTCCTTCTTCGGCCTCAAATCACTGCAAATATCCACTTGCAGATACTACAAAAAGACTGTTTCAAAACCGCTCTCTCAAAAGGAAGGTTCAACACTGTGAGTTGAATGCACATGTTACAAAGCAGTTTCTGGAATGCTTCTGTCTATTTTTCAGGTGAAGATATCACTTTTTCCAACATACGCACAAAAGAACTCGAAATGGACACTTGCAGATTCTACAAAAAGTATGTTTCAACACTGCTCTATCAAAAGAAAGGTTCAACGATGTGAATTGAACACACACTTCACAGAGGAGTTTCAGAGAATGCTTCTGTCTAGTTTTTAAGTGAAGATATTCCTTTTTCCCACATAGGCAACAAAGCGCTCCAAATGAATACTTGTGGATTCTACAAAAACTGTGTTTCAACACTGCTCTATCAAAAGAAAGTTTCAAGTCTGTGAGTTGAACGCACACATCACAAAGGACCTTCTGAGAATGCTTGGGTCTACTTTTTATGTGAAGATACCCGTTTCCAACGAATAACTCAAAGAGTTCCAAATATACACAATCAGATACTACAAAAGGAGTGTTTCATTCCTGCTCTGTCAAAAGACAGTTTCAACTCTGTTAGTTGAATGCACACAGCTCAATGAAGTTCCTGAGAAGGCTTCTGCCTAGTTTTTTGTGAAGATATTCCCTTTTCCACCATAGGCTTCATAGCGCTCCAAATGAAAACTTGCAGGTCCTACCAAAAGACTGATTCAAAACTGCTCTATCAAAAGAACGGTTCCACTCTGTTAGGTGAAGGCACACATCACAAGACGTTTCTGAGAATGCTTCTGTTTAGTATGTATGTGAAGATATTTCCTTTCCCATCATAGTACTCGAATCGCTCCAAATACCCACTTGCAGACATTACAAAAAGACTGTTTCAAAACTGCTCTCTCAAAAGGAAGGTTCAACTCTGTGAGTTGAGTGCACACATCACAATGGAGTTTCTGAGAATACTTCTTTCTAGTTTGTATGTGAAGGTATTTCCTTTTCCATCTGAGGCCCCAAGTCACTACAAATATCCACTTGTAGATACTACAAAAAGACAGTTTCAAAACCTCCTTCTCAAAAGGAAAGTTCAAATCTGTGAGTTGAATGCACACATCACAAAGCAGTTCCTGAGACTGCTTCTGTCTAGTTTGTATGTGAAGATATTTCCTTTTCCATCATAGGCCTCAAATCGCTCCAAATATCCACTTGCAGATACTACAAAAGACCGTTTCAACACTGCTCTCTCAAAAGGAAGGTTCAACTCTGTGGGTTGAATGCACACATCACAAAGCAGTTTCTGAGAATGCTTCTGTCTAGTTTGTATGTGAAGATATTTCCTTTTCCATCATAGGCCTCAAATCGCTCCAAATATCCAATTGAAGATACTACAAAAAGATCGTTTCAACACTGCTCTCTCAAATGGAAGGTTCAACTCTGTGAGTTGAATGCACACATCACAAAGCAGTTTCTGAGAATGCTTCTGTCTAGTTTGTATGTGAAGATATGCCTTTTACAACGTATTCCTCAAAGAGCTCCCACTATCCACAAGCAGATTCTACAAAAGCAGTGTTTCAAACCTGCTCTATCAAAGGAAAGTTTCAACTCTGTGAATTGAACACACACAGCACAAAGCAGTTTCTAAGAATGCTTCTCTCTAGTTTTTAAGAGAAGATAATCCTTTTTCCACCATAGGCAAGAAATCTCTCCAAATGAACACTAGCATGTTCTACAAAAAGTGTGTTTCAACACTGCTCTATCAAAAGAAAGGATCAAGACTTTGAGTTAAATGCACACATCACAAAGCAGTTTCTGAGAAAGCTTCTGTCTAGATTTTATTTGAAGGTACTTCCTTTTCCTTATTAAACCTCAAATCGCTCCAAATATCCACTTGCAGACACTACAAAAAGATTGTTTCAAAACCGCTCTCTCAAAAGGAAGGTTCAACTCTGTGAGTTGAGTGCACACATCACAATGGAGTTTCTGAGAATACTTCTGTCTATTTTTTAGGTGAAGATATCACTTTTTCCAACAGAGGCCACAAAGCATTTGAAATGAACACTTGCAGATTCTACAAAATGTTTGTTTCAACACTGCTGTATCAAAAGCAAGGTTCAACAATGTGAATTGAACACACCCATCACAAAGGAGTTTCTGAGAATGCTTCTGTCTAGTTTTTATGTGAAGATATTTCTTTTTCCAACATAGGCAACAAAGCACTCCAAAGAACACTTGTAGATTATACAAAAAGTGTGTTTCAACACTGCTCTATCTAAAGGAAGTTTCAAGTCTGTGAGTTAAATGCACACATCACAAAGCAGTTTCTGAGAATGCTTCTGTCTAGTTTGTATGTGGAGATATTTAATTTTCCACCATACTCCACAAATCGCTGCAAATATCCACTTGCAAATACTACAAAAAGACTGTTTCAAAACTTCTCTCTCAAAAGGAAGGTTCAACTCTGTGAGTTGAATGCACACATCACAAGGCAGTTTCAGAAAATGCTTCCGTCTAGTTTTTTATTTGAAGGTATTTCCTTTTCCTTCTTCGGCCTCAAATCACTGCAAATATCCACTTGCAGATACTACAAAAAGACTGTTTCAAAACCGCTCTCTCAAAAGGAAGGTTCAACACTGTGAGTTGAATGCATATGTTACAAAGCAGTTTCTGGAATGCTTCTGTCTAGTTTTGATGTGAGGATATTTCTTTTACCACCATAGGCAACACAGCGCTCCAAATGAACACTTGCAGATTCTTCGAAAGCAGTGTTTCAAAACTACCCTATCAAAAGAAAATTTCAACTCTGTGAATTGGACACACACTTTACAAAGTAGTTTCTGAGAATGCTTCTGTCTAGTTTTTAAGTGAAGATATTCCTTTTTCCCACATAGGCAACAAAGCGCTCCAAACGAATACTTGTGGATTCTACAAAAAGTGTGTTTCAACACTGCTCTATCAAAAGAAAGTTTCAAGTCCTGTGAGTTGAACGCACACATCACAAAGAACCTTTCTGAGAATGCTTGGGTCTACTTTTTATGTGAAGATACCCGTTTCCAACGAATAACTCAAAGAGTTCCAAATATACACAATCAGATACTACAAAAGGAGTGCTTCATTCCTGCTCTGTCAAAAGACAGTTTCAACTCTGTTAGTTGAATGCACACATCTCAATGAAGTTCCTGAGAAGGCTTCTGCCTAGTTTTTTGTGAAGATAGTCCCTTTTCCACCATGGGCTTCAAAGCGCTCCAAATGAAAACTTGCAGGTCCTACCAAAAGACTGATTCAAAACTGCTCTATCAAAAGAACGGTTCCACTCTGTTAGGTGAATGCACACATCACAAGAAGATTCTGAGAATGCTTCTGTTTAGTTTGTATGTGAAGATATTTCCTTTTCCATCATAGTACTCGAATCGCTCCAAGTATCTACCTGCAGACGTTACAAAAAGACTGTTTCAAAACTGCTCTCTCAAAAGGAAGGTTCAACTCTGTGAGTTGAGTGCACACATCACAATGGAGTTTCTGAGAATACTTCTGTCTACTTTGTATGTGAAGGTATTTCCTTTTCCATCTGAGGCCCCAAGTCACTACAAATATCCACTTTCAGATACTACAAAAAGACTCTTTCAAAACCGCTCTCTCAAAAGGAAAGTTCAAATCTGTGAGTTGAATGCACACATCACAAAGCAGTTCCTGAGACTGCTTCTGTCTAGTTTGTATGTGAAGATATTTCCTTTTCCATCATAGCCCTCAAATCGCTCAAAATATCCACTTGGAGATACTACAAAAGACCGTTTCAACACTGCTCTCTCAAAAGGAAGGTTCAACTCTGTGGGTTGAATGCACACATCACAAAGCAGTTTCTGAGAATGCTTCTGTCTAGTTTGTATGTGAAGATATTTCCTTTTCCATCATAGGCCTCAAATCGCTCCAAATATCCACTTGCAGATACTACAAAAAGATTGTTTCAACACTGCTCTCTCAAATGGAAGGCTTAACTCTGTGAGTTGAATACACACATCACAAAGCAGTTTCTGAGAATGCTTCTGTTTAGTTTGTATGTGAGGATATGCCTTTTACAACGTATTCCTCAAGGAGCTCCCAATATCCACAAGCAGATTCTACAGAAGCAGTGTTTCAAACCTGCTCTGTCAAAGGAAAGTTTCAACTCTGTGAATTGAACACACACATCACAAAGCAGTTTCTAAGAATGCTTCTGTCTAGTTTTTAAGAGAAGATAATCCTTTTTCCACAATAGGCAACAAATCTCTCCAAATGAACACTACCAGGTTCTACAAAAAGTGTGTTTCAACACTGCTCTAAAAAAAGTAAGGATCAAGACTTTGAGTTAAATGCACACATCACAAAGCAGTTTCTGAGAAAGCTTCTGTCTAGTTTTTATTTGAAGGTACTTCCTTTTCCTTCTTAGACCTCAAATCGCTCCAAATATCCACTTGCAGATACTACAAAAAGACTGTTTCAAAACCGCTCTCTCAAAAGGAAGGTTCAACTCTGTGAGTTGAATGCACATATTACAAAGCAATTCCTGAGAATGCTTCTGTCTATTTTTAGGTGAACATATCACTTTTTCCAACATAGGCCGCAAAGCATTTGAAATGAACCCTTGCAGATTCTACAAAATGTTTGTTTCAACACTGCTGTATCAAAAGAAAGGTTCAACAATGTGAATTGAACAAACCCATCACAAAGGAGTTTCTGAGAATGCTTCTGTCTAGTTTTTATGTGAAGATAATTCTTTTTCCAACATAGGCAACAAAGCACTCCAAAGAACACTTGTAGATTATACAAAAAGTGTGTTTCAACACTGCTCTACCTAAAGGAAGTTTCAAGTCTGTGACTTAAGTGCACACATCACAAAGCAGTTTCTGAGAATGCTTCTGTCTAGTTTGTATGTGAAGATATTTCATTTTCCACCATACTCCACAAATCGCTCCAAATATCCACTTGCAAATACTACAAAAAGACTGTTTCAAAACTTCTCTCTCAAAAGGAAGGTTCAACTCTGTGAGTTGAATGCACACATCACAAGGCAGTTTCTGAAAATGCTTCCGTCTAGTTTTTTATTTGAAGGTGTTTCCTTTTCCTTCTTTGGCCTCAAATCACTGCAAATATCCACTTGCAGATACTACAAAAAGACTGTTTCAAAACCGCTCTCTCAAAAGGAAGGTTCAACACTGTGAGTTGAATGCACATGTTACAAAGCAGTTTCTGGAATGCTTCTGTCTATTTTTCAGGTGAAGATATCACTTTTTCCAACATACGCACAAAAGAACTCGAAATGGACACTTGCAGATTCTACAAAAAGTATGTTTCAACACTGCTCTATCAAAAGAAAGGTTCAACGATGTGAATTGAACACACACTTCACAGAGGAGTTTCAGAGAATGCTTCTGTCTAGTTTTTAAGTGAAGATATTCCTTTTTCCCACATAGGCAACAAAGCGCTCCAAATGAATACTTGTGGATTCTACAAAAACTGTGTTTCAACACTGCTCTATCAAAAGAAAGTTTCAAGTCTGTGAGTTGAACGCACACATCACAAAGAACCTTCTGAGAATTATTGGGTCTACTTTTTATGTGAAGATACCCGTTTCCAACGAATAACTCAAAGAGTTCCAAATATACACAATCAGATACTACAAAAGGAGTGTTTCACTCCTGCTCTGTCAAAAGACAGTTTCAACTCTGTTAGTTGAATGCACACATCTCAATGAAGTTCCTGAGAAGGCTTCTGCCTAGTTTTTTGTGAAGATAGTCCGTTTTCCACAATGGGCTTCAAAGCGCTCCACATGAAAACTTGCAGGTCTTACCAAAAGACTGATTCAAAACTGCTCTATCAAAAGAACGGTTCCACTCTGTTAGGTGAACGCACACATCACAAGGAGTTTCTGAGAATGCTTCTGTTTAGTTTGTATGTGAAGATATTTCCTTTTCCATCATACTACACGAATCGCTCCAAATATCCACCTGCAGACATTACAAAAAGACTGTTTCAAAACTGCTCTCTCAAAAGGAAGGTTCAACTCTGTGAGTTGAGTGCACACATCACAATGGAGTTTCTGAGAATACTTCTGTCTAGTTTGTATGTGAAGGTATTTCCTTTTCCATCTGAGGCCCCAAGTCACTACAAATATCCACTTGCAGATACTACAAAAAGACTGTTTCAAAACCTCCCTCTCCAAAGGAAAGTTCAAATCTGTCGGTTGAATGCACACATCAAAAAGCAGTTTCTGAGAATGCTTCTGTCTAGTTTGTATGTGAAGATATTTGCTTTTCCATCATAGGCCTCAAATCGCTCCAAATATCCACTTGCAGATACTACAAAAGACCGTTTCAACACTGCTCTCTCAAAAGGAAGGTTCAAATACTGTGGGTTGAATGCACACATCACAAAGCAGTTTCTGAGAATGCTTCTGTCTAGTTTGTATGTGAAGATATTTCCTTTTCCATCCTAGGCCTCAAATCGCTCCAAATATCCACTTGCAGATACTACAAAAAGACTGTTTCAACACTGCTCTCTCAAATGGAAGGTTCAACTCTGTGAGTTGAATGCACACATCACAAAGCAGTTTCTGAGAATGCTTCTGTCTAGTTTGTATGTGAAGATATGCCTTTTACAACGTATTCCTCAAGGAGCTCCCAATATCCACAAGCAGATTCTACAGAAGCAGTGTTTCAAACCTGCTCTGTCAAAGGAAAGTTTCAACTCTGTGAATTGAACACACACATCACAAAGCAGTTTCTAAGAATGCTTCTGTCTAGTTTTTAAGAGAAGATAATCCTTTTTCCACCATAGGCAACAAATCTCTCCAAATGAACACTACCAGGTTCTACAAAAAGTGTGTTTCAACACTGCTCTAACAAAAGTAAGGATCAAGACTTTGAGTTAAATGCACACATCACAAAGCAGTTTCTGAGAAAGCTTCTTTCTAGTTTTTATTTGAAGGTACTTCCTTTTCCTTCTTAGACCTCAAATCGCTCCAAATATCCACTTGCAGATACTACAAAAAGACTGTTTCAAAACCGCTCTCTCAAAAGGAAGGTTCAACTCTGTGAGTTGAATGCACATATTACAAAGCAATTCCTGAGAATGCTTCTGTCTATTTTTTAGGTGAAGATATCACTTTTTCCAACATAGGCCGCAAAGCATTTGAAATGAACCCTTGCAGATTCTACAAAATGTTTGTTTCAACACTGCTGTATCAAAAGAAAGGTTCAACAATGTGAATTGAACAAACCCATTACAAAGGAGTTTCTGAGAATGCTTCTGTCTAGTTTTTATGTGAAGATATTTCTTTTTCCAACATAGGCAACAAAGCACTCCAAAGAACACTTGTAGATTATACAAAAAGTGTGTTTCAACACTGCTCTACCTAAAGGAAGTTTCAAGTCTGTGACTTAAATGCACACATCACAAAGCAGTTTCTGACAATGCTTCTGTCTAGTTTGTATGTGAAGATATTTCATTTTCCACCATACTCCACAAATCGCTCCAAATATCCACTTGCAAATACTACAAAAAGACTGTTTCAAAACTTCTCTCTCAAAAGGAAGGTTCAACTCTGTGAGTTGAATGCACACATCACAATGCAGTTTCTGAAAATGCTTCCGTCTAGTTTTTTATTTGAAGGTATTTCCTTTCCTTCTTCGGCCTCAAATCACTGCAAATATCCACTTGCAGATACTACAAAAAGACTGTTTCAAAACCGCTCTCTCAAAAGGAAGGTTCAACACTGTGAGTTGAATGCACATGTTACAAAGCAGTTTCTGGAATGCTTCTGTCTATTTTTCAGGTGAAGATATCACTTTTTCCAACATACGCACAAAAGAACTCGAAATGGACACTTGCAGATTCTACAAAAAGTATGTTTCAACACTGCTCTATCAAAAGAAAGGTTCAACGATGTGAATTGAACACACACTTCACAGAGGAGTTTCAGAGAATGCTTCTGTCTAGTTTTTAAGTGAAGATATTCCTTTTTCCCACATAGGCAACAAAGCGCTCCAAACGAATACTTCTGGATTCTACAAAAAGTGTGTTTCAACACTGCTCTATCAAAAGAAAGTTTCAAGTCTGTGAGTTGAACGCCCACATCACAAAGAACCTTCTGAGAATGCTTGGGTCTACTTTTTATGTGAAGATACCCGTTTCCAATGAATAACTCAAAGAGTTCCAAATATACACAATCAGATACTACAAAAGGAGTGTTTCATTCCTCCTCTGTCAAAAGACAGTTTCAACTCTGTTAGTTGAATGCACACATCTCAATGAAGTTCCTGAGAAGGCTTCTGCCTAGTTTTTTGTGAAGATAGTCCCTTTTCCACCATGGGCTTCAAAGCACTCCAAATGAAAACTTGCAGGTCCTACCAAAAGACTGATTCAAAACTGCTCTATCAAAAGAACGGTTCCACTCTGTTAGGTGAATGCACACATCACAAGAAGTTTCTGAGAATGCTTCTGTTTAGTTTGTATGTGAAGATATTTCCTTTTCCATCATAGTACTCGAATCGCTCCAAATATCCACTGGCAGACATTACAAAAAGACTGTTTCAAAACTGCTCTCTCAAAAGGAAGGTTCAACTCTGTGAGTTGAGTGCACACATAACAATGGAGTTTCTGAGAATACTTCTTTCTAGTTTGTATGTGAAGGTATTTCCTTTTCCACCTGAGGCCCCAAGTCACTACAAATATCCAATTGCAGATAATACAAAAAGACTGTTTCAAAACCTCCCTCTCAAAAGGAAAGTTCAAATCTGTCGGTTGAATGCACACATCACAAAGCAGTTTCTGAGAATGCTTCTGTCTAGTTTGTATGTGAAGATATTTCCTTTTCCATCATAGGCCTCAAATCGCTCCAAATATCCACTTGCAGATACTACAAAAGACCGTTTCAACACTGCTCTCTCAAAAGGAAGGTTCAACTCTGTGGGTTGAATGCACACATCACAAAGCAGTTTCTGAGAATGCTTCTCTCTAGTTTGTATGTGAAGATGTTTCCTTTTCCATCATAGGCCTCAAATCGCTCCAAATATCCACTTGCAGATACTACAAAAAGACTGTTTCAACACTGCTCTCTCAAATGGAAGGTTCAACTCTGTGAGTTGAATGCACACATCACAAAGCAGTTTCTGAGAATGCTTCTGTCTAGTTTGTACGTGAAGATATGCCTTTTACAACGTATTCCTCAAGGAGCTCCCAATATCCACAAGCAGATTCTACAAAAGCAGTGTTTCGAAACTGCTCTATCAAAGGAAAGTTTCAACTGTGTGAATTGAACACACACATCACAAAGCAGTTTCTAAGAATGCTTCTGTCTAGTTTTTAAGAGAAGATAATCCTTTTTCCACCATAGGCAACAAATCTCTCCAAATGAACACTACCAGGTTCTACAAAAAGTGTGTTTCAACACTGCTCTAACAAAAGTAAGGATCAAGACTTTGAGTTAAATGCACACATCACAAAGCAGTTTCTGAGAAAGCTTCTGTCTAGTTTTTATTTGAAGATGCTTCCTTTTCCTTCTTAAACCTCAAATCGCTCCAAATATCCACTTGCAGATACTACAAAAAGACTGTTTCAAAACTGCTCTCTCAAAAGGAAGGTTCAACTATGTGAGTTGAATGCACATATTACAAAGCAGTTCCTGAGAATGCTTCTGTCTATTTTTTAGGTGAAGATAACACTTTTTCCAACAAAGGCCTCAAAGCATTTGAAATGAACACTTGCAGATTCTACAAAATGTTTGTTTCAACACTGCTGTATCAAAAGAAAGGTTCAACAATGTGAATTGAACACACCCATCACAAAGGAGTTTCTGAGAATGCTTCTGTCTAGTTTTTATGTGAAGATACTTCTTTTTCCAACATAGGCAACAAAGCACTCCAAAGAACACTTGTAGATTATACAACAAGTGTGTTTCAACACTGCTCTACCTAAAGGAAGTTTCAAGTCTGTGACTTAAATGCACACATCACAAAGCAGTTTCTGAGAATGCTTCTGTCTAGTTTGTATGTGAAGATATTTCATTTTCCACCATACTCCACAAATCGCTCCAAATATCCACTTGCAAATACTACAAAAAGACTGTTTCAAAACTTCTCTCTCAAAAGGAAGGTTCAGCTCTATGAGTTGAATGCACACATCACAAGGCAGTTTCTGAAAATGCTTCCGTCTAGTTTTTTATTTGAAGGTATTTCCTTTTCCTTCTTCGGCCTCAAATCACTGCAAATATCCACTTGCAGATACTACAAAAAGACTGTTTCAAAACCGCTCTCTCAAAAGGAAGGTTCAACACTGTGAGTTGAATGCACATGTTACAAAGCAGTTTCTGGAATGCTTCTGTCTATTTTTCAGGTGAAGATATCACTTTTTCCAACATACGCACAAAAGAACTCGAAATGGACACTTGCAGATTCTACAAAAAGTATGTTTCAACACTGCTCTATCAAAAGAAAGGTTCAACGATGTGAATTGAACACACACTTCACAGAGGAGTTTCAGAGAATGCTTCTGTCTAGTTTTTAAGTGAAGATATTCCTTTTTCCCACATAGGCAACAAAGCGCTCCAAATGAATACTTGCGGTTTCTACAAAACGTGTGTTTCAACACTGCTCTATCAAAAGAAAGTTTCAAGTCTGTGAGTTGAACGCACACATCACAAAGAACCTTCTGAGAATGCTTGGGTATACTTTTTATGTGAAGATACCCGTTTCCAACGAATAACTCAAAGAGTTCCAAATATACACAATCAGATACTACAAAAGGAGTGTTTCATTCCTGCTCTGTCAAAAGACAGTTTCAACTCTGTTAGTTGAATGCACACATCTCAATGAAGATCCTGAGAAGGCTTCTGCCTAGTTTTTTCTGAAGATAGTCCCTTTTCCACCATGGGCTTCAAAGCGCTCCAAATGAAAACTTGCAGGTCCTACCAAAAGACTGATTCAAAACTGCTCTATCAAAAGAACGGATCCACTCTGTTAGGTGAATGCACACATCACAAGAAGTTTCTGAGAATGCTTCTGTTTCGTTTGTATGTGAAGATATTTCCTTTTCCATCATACTACACGAATCGCTCCAAATATCCACCTGCAGACGTTACAAAAAGACTGTTTCAAAACTGCTCTCTCAAAAGGAAGGTTCAACTCTGTGAGTTGAGTGCACACATCACAATGGAGTTTCTGAGAATACTTCTGTCTACTTTGTATGTGAAGGTATTTCCTTTTCCACCTGAGGCCCCAAGTCACTACAAATATCCACTTGCAGATACTACAAAAAGACTGTTTCAAAACCTCCCTCTCAAAAGGACAGTTCAAATCTGTCGGTTGAATGCACACATCACAAAGCAGTTTCTGAGAATGCTTCTGTCTAGTTTGTATGTGAAGATATTTCCTTTTGCATCATAGGCCTCAAACCACACCAAATATCCACTTGCAGATACTGCAAGAAGACTGTTTCAAAACTGCTCTCTCAAAAGGAAGGTTCAACTCTGAGTGTTGAATGCACACATCCCAAAGCAGTTTCTGAGAATGCTTCTGTCTAGTTTGTATGTGAAGATATTTCCTTTTCCATCATAGGCCTCAAATCGCTCCAAATATCCACTTGAAGATACTACAAAAAGACTGTTTCAACACTGCTCTCTCAAATGGAAGGTTCAACTCTGTGAGTTGAATGCACACATCACAAAGCAGTTTCTGAGAATGCTTCTGTCTAGTTTGTATGTGAAGATATGCCTTTTACAACGTATTCCTCAAGGAGCTCCCAATATCCACAAGCAGATGCTACAGAAGCAGAGTTTCAAACCTGCTCTGTCAAAGGAAAGTTTCCACTCTGTGAATTGAACACACACATCACAAAGCAGTTTCTAAGAATGCTTCTGTCTAGTTTTTAAGAGAAGATAATCCTTTTTCCACCATAGGCAACAAATCTCTCCAAATGAACACTACCAGGTTCTACAAAAAGTGTGTTTCAACACTGCTCTAACAAAAGTAAGGATCAAGACTTTGAGTTAAATGCGCACATCACAAAGCAGTTTCTGAGAAAGCTTCTGTCTAGTTTTTATTTGAAGGTACTTCCTTTTCCTTCTTAGACCTCAAATCGCTCCAAATATCCACTTGCAGATACTACGAAAAGACTGGTTCAAAACCGCTCTCTCAAAAGGAAGGTTCAACTCTGTGAGTTGAATGCACATATTACAAAGCAGTTCCTGAGAATGCTTCTGTCTATTTTTTAGGTGAAGATATCACTTTTTCCAACATAGGCCACAAAGCATTTGAAATGAACACTTGCAGATTCTACAAAATGTTTGTTTCAACACTGCTGTATCAAAAGAAAGGTTCAACAATGTGAATTGAACACACCCATCACAAAGGAGTTTCTGAGAATGCTTCTGTCTAGTTTCTATGTGAAGATATTTGTTTTTTCAACATAGGCAACAAAGCACTCCAAAGAACACTTGTAGATTATACAAAAAGTGTGTTTCAACACTGCTCTACCTAAAGGAAGTTTCAAGCCTGTGACTTAAATGCACACATCACAAAGCAGTTTCTGAGAATGCTTCTGTCTACTTTGTATGTGAAGGTATTTCATTTTCCACCATACTCCACAAATCGCTCCAAATATCCACTTGCAAATACTACAAAAAGACTGTTTCAAAACTTCTCTCTCAAAAGGAAGGTTCAACTCTGTGAGTTGAATGCACACATCACAAGGCAGTTTCTGAAAATGCTTCCGTCTAGTTTTTTATTTGAAGGTATTTCCTTTTCCTTCTTCGGCCTCAAATCACTGCAAATATCCACTTGCAGATACTACAAAAAGACTGTTTCAAAACCGCTCTCTCAAAAGGAAGGTTCAACACTGTGAGTTGAATGCATATGTTACAAAGCAGTTTCTGGAATGCTTCTGTCTATTTTTCAGGTGAAGATATCACTTTTTCCAACATAGGCACAAAAGAACTCGTAATGGACACTTGCAGATTCTACAAAAAGTATGTTTCAACACTGCTCTATCAAAAGAAAGGTTCAACGATGTGAATTGAACACACACTTCACAGAGGAGTTTCAGAGAATGCTTCTGTCTAGTTTTTAAGTGAAGATATTCCTTTTTCCCACATAGGCAACAAAGCGCTCCAAATGAATACTTGTGGATTCTACAAAAAGGGTGTTTCAACACTGCTCTATCAAAAGAAAGTTTCAAGTCTGTGAGTTGAACGCACACATCACAAAGAACCTTCTGAGAATGCTTGGGTCTACTTTTTATGTGAAGATACCCGTTTCCAACGAATAACTCAAAGAGTTCCAAATATACACAATCAGATACTACAAAAGGAGTGTTTCATTCCTGCTCTGTCAAAAGACAGTTTCAACTCTGTTAGTTGAATGCACACATCTCAATGAAGATCCTGAGAAGGCTTCTGCCTAGTTTTTTGTGAAGATAGTCCCTTTTCCACCATGGGCTTCAAAGCGCTCCAAATGAAAACTTGCAGGTCCTACCAAAAGACAGATTCAAAACTGCTCTATCAAAAGAACGGTTCCACTCTGTTAGGTGAATGCACACATCACAAGAAGTTTCTGAGAATGCTTCTGTTTAGTTTGTATGTGAAGATATTTCCTTTTCCATCATAGTACTCGAATCGCTCCAAATATCCACCTGCAGACGTTACAAAAAGACTGTTTCAAAACTGCTCTCTCAAAAGGAAGGTTCAACTCTGTGAGTTGAGTGCACACATCACAATGGAGTTTCTGAGAATACTTCTGTCTAGTTTGTATGTGAAGGTATTTCCTTTTCCATCTGAGGCCCCAAGTCACCACAAATATCCACTTGCAGATCCTACAAAAAGACTGTTTCAAAACCTCCCCTTCAAAAGGAAAGTTCAAATCTGTCGGTTGAATGCACACATCACAAAGCAGTTTACTGAGAATGCTTCTGTCTAGTTTGTATGTGAAGATATTTCCTTTTTCATCATAGGCCTCAAATCGCACCAAATATCCACTTGCAGATACTACAAAAAGACTGTTTCGAAACTGCTCTCTCAAAAGGAAGGTTCAACTCTGTGGGTTGAATGCACACATCACAAAACAGTTTCTGAGAATGCTTCTGTCTAGTTTGTATGTGAAGATATTTCCTTTTCCATCATAGGCCTCAAATCGCTCCAAATATCCACTTGCAGATACTACAAAAAGACTGTTTCAACACTGCTCTCTCAAATGGAAGGTTCAACTCTGTGAGTTGAATGCACACATCACAAAGCAGTTTCTGAGAATGCTTCTGTCTAGTTTGTATGTGAAGATATGCCTTTTACAACGTATTCCTCAAAGAGCTCCCAATATCCACAAGCAGATTCTACAAAAGAAGTGTTTCAAAACTGCTCTATCAAAGGAAAGTTTCAACTCTGTGAATTGAACACACACATCACAAAGCAGTTTCTAAGAATGCTTCTGTCTAGTTTTTAAGAGAAGATAATCCTTTTTCCACCATAGGCAACAAATCTCTCCAAATGAACACTACCAGGTTCTACAAAAAGTGTGTTTCAACACTGCTCTAACAAAAGTAAGGATCAAGACTTTGAGTTAAATGCACACATCACAAAGCAGTTTCTGAGAAAGCTTCTGTCTAGTTTTTATTTAAAGGTACTTCCTTTTCCTTGTTAGACCTCAAATCGCTCCAAATATCCACTTGCAGATACTACAAAAAGACTGTTTCAAAACCGCTCTCTCAAAAGGAAGGTTCAACTCTGTGAGTTGAATGCACATATTACAAAGCAGTTCCTGAGAATGCTTCTGTCTATTTTTTAGGTGAACATATCACTTTTTCCAACATAGGCCACAAAGCATTTGAAATGAACCCTTGCAGATTCTACAAAATGTTTGTTTCAACACTGCTGTATCAAAAGAATGGTTCAACAATGTGAATTGAACAAACCCATCACAAAGGAGTTTCTGAGAATGCTTCTGTCTAGTTTTTATGTGAAGATATTTCTTTTTCCAACATAGGCAACAAAGCACTCCAAAGAACACTTGTAGATTATACAAAAAGTGTGTTTCAACACTGCTCTACCTAAAGGAAGTTTCAAGTCTGTGACTTAAATGCACACATCACAAAGCAGTTTCTGACAATGCTTCTGTCTAGTTTGTATGTGAAGATATTTCATTTTCCACCATACTCCAGAAATCGCTCCAAATATCCACTTGCTGATATTACAAAAAGACTGCTTCAAAGCTGCTCTCTGAAAAGGAAGGTTCAACTGTGTGAGTTGAATGCACAAATCAAAAAGCAGTTCCTGAGAATGTTTCTGTCTAGTTTGTATGTGAAGATATTTCCTTTTCCATCTTAGGCTTCAAATCACTACAAATATACACTTGCAGACACTATAAAAAGATTGTTTCAAAACCTCTCTCTCAAAATGAAAATTCAAATCTGCGAGTTGAATGCACACATCACAAAGCAGTTCCTGAGACTGCTTCTGTCTGGTTTGTATGTGAAGATATTTCCTTTTCCATCATAGGCCTCAAATCGCTCCAAATATCCACTTGCAGATACTACAAAAAGACTGTTTCAACACTGCTCTCTCAAATGGAAGGTTCAACTCTGTGAGTTGAATGCTCACATCACAAAGCAGTTTCTGAGAATGCTTCTGTCTAGTTTGTATGTGAAGATATTTCCTTTTCCATCATAGGCCTCAAATCGCTCCAAATATCCACTTGAAGATACTACAAAAAGACTGTTTCAACACTGCTCTCTCAAATGGAAGGTTCAACTCTGTGTGTTGAATGCACACATCACAAAGCAGTTTCTGAGAATGCTTCTGTCTAGTTTGTATGTGAAGATATGCCTTTTACAACGTATTCCTCAAGGAGCTCCCAATATCCACAAGCAGATTCTACAAAAGCAGTGTTTCAATCCTGCTCTGTCAAAGGAAAGTTTCAACTCTGTGAATTGAACACACACATCACAAAGCAGTTTCTAAGAATGCTTCTGTCTAGTTTTTATTTGAAGGTACTTCCTTTTCCTTCTTAGACCTCAAATCGCTCCAAATATCCACTTGCAGATACTACAAAAAGACTGTTTCAAAACCGCTCTCTCAAAAGGAAGGTTCAACTCTGTGAGTTGAATGCACATATTACAAAGCAGTTCCTGAGAATGCTTCTGTCTATTTTTTAGGTGAAGATATCACTTTTTCCAACATAGGCCGCAAAGCATTTGAAATGAACCCTTGCAGATTCTACAAAATGTTTGTTTCAACACTGCTGTATCAAAAGAAAGGTTCAACAATGTGAATTGAACAAACCCATTACAAAGGAGTTTCTGAGAATGCTTCTGTCTAGTTTTTATGTGAAGATAGTTCTTTTTCCAACATAGGCAACAAAGCACTCCAAAGAACACTTGTAGATTATACAAAAAGTGTGTTTCAACACTGCTCTACCTAAAGGAAGTTTCAAGTCTGTGACTTAAATGCACACATCACAAAGCAGTTTCTGAGAATGCTTCTGTCTAGTTTGTATGTGAAGATATTTCATTTTCCACCATACTCCACAAATCACTCCAAATATCCACTTGCAAATACTACAAAAAGACTGTTTCAAAACTTCTCTCTCAAAAGGAAGGTTCAACTCTGTGAGTTGAATGCACACATCACAAGGCAGTTTCCGAAAATGCTTCCGTCTAGTTTTTTATTTGAAGGTATTTCCTTTTCCTTCTTCGGCCTCAAATCACTGCAAATATCCACTTGCAGATACTACAAAAAGACTGTTGCAAAACCGCTCTCTCAAAAGGAAGGTTCAACACTGTGAGTTGAATGCACATGTTACAAAGCAGTTTCTGGAATGCTTCTGTCTATTTTTCAGGTGAAGATATCACTTTTTCCAACATACGCACAAAAGAACTCGAAATGGACACTTGCAGATTCTACAAAAAGTATGTTTCAACACTGCTCCATCAAAAGAAAGGTTCAACGATGTGAATTGAACACACACTTCACAGAGGAGTTTCAGAGAATGCTTATCTGTCTAGTTTTTAAGTGAAGATATTCCTTTTTCCCACATAGGCAACAAAGCGCTCCAAACGAATACTTGTGGATTCTACAAAAAGTGTGTTTCAACACTGCTCTATCAAAAGAAAGTTTCAAGTCTGTGAGTCGAACGCCCACATCACAAAGAACCTTCTGAGAATGCTTGGGTCTACTTTTTATGTGAAGATACCCGTTTCCAACGAATAACTCAAAGAGTTCCAAATATACACAATCAGATACTACAAAAGGAGTGTTTCACTCCTGCTCTGTCAAGAGACAGTTTCAACTCTGTTAGTTGAATGCACACATCTCAATGAAGTTCCTGAGAAGGCTTCTGTCTATTTTTTATGTGAAGTCATTTCCTTTTCCACCATAGGCTTCAAAGCACTCCAAATGAACACTCTCAGATCCCACAAAAATACTGTTTCAAAACTGCTCTATCAAAATAAGGGTTCCACTCTGTGAGGTGAATGCTCATATCACAAAGCAGTTTCTGAGAATGCTTCTGTCTAGTTTTTATGTGAAGATATTTCCTTTTCCATAATAGGCCTCTAATCGCTCCAAATATCCACTTGCAGATACTAAAAAAAGATGGTTTCAAAACTTCTCTCTCAAAAGGAAGGTTCAACTCTGTGAGTTGAATGCACACATCACAAAGCAGTTTCTGAGAATGCTTCTGTCTAGTTTGTACGTGAAGATATTTCCTTTTCCATCATAGGCCTCAAATCGCTCCAAATATCCACCTGCAGATACTACAAAAAGACTGTTACAAAACTGCTCTCTCAAAAGAAAGGTTCAATTCTGTGAGTTGAATGCACACATCACAAAGCAGTTTCTGAGAATGCTTCTGTCTAGTTTGTATGTGAAGATATTTCCTTTTCCACCATAGGCTTCAAAGCGATCCAAATGAACACTTGCAGGTCCAACAAAAAGACTGATTCAAAACTGCTCTATCAATAGAATGGTTCCACTCCGTGAGGTGAATGCACACATCACAAAAGAGTTTTCGAGAATGCTTCTGTCTAGTTTTTATGTGAAGATATTTCCTTTTCATTCACAGGCCTCAAATCGCTCCAAATATCCACTGGCAGATACTCCAAAAAGACTGTTTCAAAACTGCTCTCTCAAAAGGAAGGTTCAACTGTGTGAGTGGAATGCACACATCACAAAGCAGTTTCTGAGAATGCTTCTGTCTAGTTTGTATGTGAAGATATGCCTTTTACAACGTATTCCTCAAAGAGATCCCAATATCCACAAGCAGATTCTACAAAAGCAGTGTTTCAAAACTGCTCTATCAAAGGAAAGTTTCAACTCTGTGAATTGAACACACACATCACAAAGCAGTTTCTAAGAATGCTTCTGTCTAGTTTTTAAGAGAAGATAATCCTTTTTCCACCATAGGCAACAAATCTCTCCAAATGAACACTACCAGGTTCTACAAAAAGTGTGTTTCAACACTGCTCTAACAAAAGTAAGGATGAAGACTTTGAGTTAAATGCACACATCACAAAGCAGTTTCTGAGAAACCTTCTGTCTAGTTTTTATTTGAAGGTACTTCCTTTTCCTTCTTAGACCTCAAATCGCTCCAAATATCCACTTGCAGATACTACAAAAAGACTGTTTCAAAACCGCTCTCTCAAAAGGAAGGTTCAACTCTGTGAGTTGAATGCACATATTACAAAGCAGTTCCTGAGAATGCTTCTGTCTATTTTTTAGGTGAAGATATCACTTTTTCCAACATAGGCTGCAAAGCATTTGAAATGAACCCTTGCAGATTCTACAAAATGTTTGTTTCAACACTGCTGTATCAAAAGAAAGGTTCAACAATGTGAATTGAACAAACCCATCACAAAGGAGTTTCTGAGAATGCTTCTGTCTAGTTTTTATGTGAAGATATTTCTTTTTCCAACATAGGCAACAAAGCACACCAAAGAACACTTGTAGATTATACAAAAAGTGTGCTTCAACACTGCTCTATCTAAAGGAAGTTTCAAGTCTGTGAGTTAAATGCACACATCACAAAGCAGTTTCTGATAATGCTTCTGTCTAGTTTGTATGTGAAGATATTTCATTTTCCACCATACTCCACAAATCGCTCCAAATATCCACTTGCAAATACTACAAAAAGACTGTTTCAAAACTTCTCTCTCAAAAGGAAGGTTCAACTCTGTGAGTTGAATGCACACATCACAAGGCAGTTTCCGAAAATGCTTCCATCTAGTTTTTTATTTGAAGGTGTTTCCTTTTCCTTCTTCGGCCTCAAATCACTGCAAATATCCACTTGCAGATACTACAAAAAGACTGTTTCAAAACCGCTCTCTCAAAAGGAAGGTTCAACACTGTGAGTTGAATGCACATGTTACAAAGCAGTTTCTGGAATGCTTCTGTCTATTTTTCAGGTGAAGATATCACTTTTTCCAACATACGCACAAAAGAACTCGAAATGGACACTTGCAGATACTACAAAAAGTATGTTTCAACACTGCTCTATCAAAAGAAAGGTTCAACGATGTGAAATGAACACACACTTCACAGAGGAGTTTCAGAGAATGCTTCTGTCTAGTTTTTAAGTGAAGATATTCCTTTTTCCCACATAGGCAACAAAGCGCTCCAAACGAATACTTCTGGATTCTACAAAAAGTGTGTTTCAACACTGCTCTATCAAAAGAAAGTTTCAAGTCTGTGAGTTGAACGCCCACATCACAAAGAACCTTCTGAGAATGCTTGGGTCTACTTTTTATGTGAAGATACCCGTTCCCAACGAATAACTCAAAGAGTTCCAAATATACACAATCAGATACTACAAAATGAGTGTTTCATTCCTGCTCTGTCAAAAGACAGTTTCAACTCTGTTAGTTGAATGCACACATCTCAATGAAGATCCTGAGAAGGCTTCTGCCTAGTTTTTTGTGAAGATAGTCCCTTTTCCACCATGGGCTTCAAAGCGCTCCAAATGAATACTTGCAGGTCCTACCAAAAGACTGATTCAAAACGGCTCTATCAAAAGAACGGTTCCACTCTGTTAGGTGAACGCACACATCACAAGAAGTTTCTGAGAATGCTTCTGTTTCGTTTGTATGTGAAGATATTTCCTTTTCCATCATACTACACGAATCGCTCCAAATATCCACCTGCAGACGTTACAAAAAGACTGTTTCAAAACTGCTCTCTCAAAAGGAAGGTTCAACTCTGTGAGTTGAGTGCACACATCACAATGGAGTTTCTGAGAATACTTCTGTCTACTTTGTATGTGAAGGTATTTCCTTTTCCACCTGAGGCCCCAAGTCACTACAAATATCCACTTGCAGATACTACAAAAAGACTGTTTCAAAACCTCCCTCTCCAAAGGAAAGTTCAAATCTGTCGGTTGAATGCACACATCACAAAGCAGTTTCTGAGAATGCTTCTGTCTAGTTTGTATGTGAAGATATTTCCTTTTCCATCATAGGCCTCAAATCGCTCCAAATATCCACTTGCAGATACTACAAAAGACCGTTTCAACACTGCTCTCTCAAAAGGAAGGTTCAACTCTGTGGGTTGAATGCACACATCACAAAGCAGTTTCTGAGAATGCTTCTGTCTAGTTTGTATGTGAAGATATTTCCTTTTCCATCATAGGCCTCAAATCGCTCCAAATATCCAATTGAAGATACTACAAAAAGATCGTTTCAACACTGCTCTCTCAAATGGAAGGTTCAACTCTGTGAGTTGAATGCACACATCACAAAGCAGTTTCTCAGAATGCTTCTGTCTAGTTTGTATGTGAAGATATGCCTTTTACAACGTATTCCTCAAGGAGCTCCCAATATCCACAAGCAGATTCTACAGAAGCAGTGTTTCAAACCTGCTCTGTCAAAGGAAAGTTTCAACTCTGTGAATTGAACACACACATCACAAAGCAGTTTCTAAGAATGCTTCTGTCTAGTTTTTAAGAGAAGATAATCCTTTTTCCACCATAGGCAACAAATCTCTCCAAATGAACACTACCAGGTTCTACAAAAAGTGTGTTTCAACACTGCTCTAACAAAAGTAAGGATCAAGACTTTGAGTTAAATGCACACATCACAAAGCAGTTTCTGAGAAAGCTTCTGTCTAGTTTTTATTTGAAGGTACTTCCTTTTCCTTCTTAGACCTCAAATCGCTCCAAATATCCACTTGCAGATACTACAAAAAGACTGTTTCAAAACCGCTCTCTCAAAAGGAAGGTTCAACTCTGTGAGTTGAATGCACATATTACAAAGCAGTTCCTGAGAATGCTTCTGTCTATTTTTTAGGTGAACATATCACTTTTTCCAACAGAGGCCACAAAGCATTTGAAATGAACCCTTGCAGATTCTACAAAATGTTTGTTTCAACACTGCTGTATCAAAAGAAAGCTTCAACAATGTGAATTGAACAAACCCATCACAAAGGAGGTTCTGAGAATGCTTCTGTCTAGTTTTTATGTGAAGATATTTCTTTTTCCAACATAGGCAACAAAGCACTCCAAAGAACACTTGTAGATTATACAAAAAGTGTGTTTCAACACTGCTCTACCTAAAGGAAGTTTCAAGTCTGTGACTTAAATGCACACATCACAAAGCAGTTTCTGAGAATGCTTCTGTCTACTTTGTATGTGAAGATATTTCATTTTCCACCATACTCCACAAATCGCTCCAAATATCCACTTGCAAATACTACAAAAAGACTGTTTCAAAACTTCTCTCTCAAAAGGAAGGTTCAACTCTGTGGGTTGAATGCACACATCACAAAGCAGTTTCTGAGAATGCTTCCTTCTAGTTTTGTATTTGAAGGTATTTCCTTTTCCTTCTTCGGCCTCAAATCACTGCAAATATCCACTTGCAGATACTACAAAAAGACTGTTTCAAAACCGCTCTGTCAAAAGGAAGGTTCAACACTGTGAGTTGAATGCACATGTTACAAAGCAGTTTCTGGAATGCTTCTGTCTATTTTTCAGGTGAAGATATCACTTTTTACAACATACGCACAAAAGAACTCGAAATGGACACTTGCAGATTCTACAAAAAGTATGTTACAACACTGCTCTATCAAAAGAAAGGTTCAACGATGTGAATTGAACACACACCTCACAGAGTAGTTTCAGGGAATGCTTCTGTCTAGTTTTTAAGTGAAGATATTCCTTTTTCCCACATAGGCAACAAAGCACTCCAAACGAATACTTCTGGATTCTACAAAAAGTGTGTTTCAACACTGCTCTATCAAAAGAAAGTTTCAAGTCTGTGAGTTGAACGCCCACATCACAAAGAACCTTCTGAGAATGCTTGGGTCTACTTTTTATGTGAAGATACCCGTTTCCAACGAATAACTCAAAGAGTTCCAAATATACACAATCAGATATTACAAAAGGAGTGCTTCATTCCTGCTCTGTCAAAAGACAGTTTCAACTCTGTTAGTTGAATGCACAAATCTCAATGAAGTTCCTGAGAAGGCTTCTGCCTAGTTTTTTGTGAAGATATTCCCTTTTCCACCATAGGCTTCAAAGCACTCCAAATGAAAACTTGCAGGTCCTACCAAAAGACTGATTCAAAACTGCTCTATCAAAAGAACGGTTCCACTCTGTTAGGTGAAGGCACACATCACAAGACGTTTCTGAGAATGCTTCTGTTTAGTTTGTATGTGAAGATATTTCCTTTTCCATCATACTACACGAATCGCTCCAAATATCCACCTGCAGACGTTACAAAAAGACTGTTTCAAAACTGCTCTCTCAAAAGGAAGGTTCAACCCTGTGAGTTGAGTGCACACATCACAATGGAGTTTCTGAGAATACTTCTGTCTACTTTGTATGTGAAGGTATTTCCTTTTCCACCTGAGGCCCCAAGTCATTACAAATATCCACTTGCAGATACTACAAAAAGACTGTTTCAAAACCTCCCTCTCAAAAGGAAAGTTCAAATCTGTCGGTTGAATGCACACATCACAAAGCAGTTTCTGAGAATGCTTCTGTCTAGTTTGTATGTGAAGATATTTCCTTTTCCATCATAGACCTCAAATCGCTCCAAATATCCACTTGCAGATACTACAAAAGACCGTTTCAACACTGCTCTCTCAAAAGGAAGGTTCAACTCTGTGGGTTGAATGCCCACATCACAAAGCAGTTTCTGAGAATGCTTCTGTCTAGTTTGTATGTGAAGATATTTCCTTTTCCATCATAGGCCTCAAATCGCTCCAAATATCCACTTGAAGATACTACAAAAAGACTGTTTCAACACTGCTCTCTCAAATGGAAGGTTCAACTCTGTGAGTTGAATGCACACATCACAAAGCAGTTTCTGAGAATGCTTCTGTCTAGTTTGTATGTGAAGATATGCCTTTTACAACGTATTCCTCAAGGAGCTCCCAATATCCACAAGCAGATTCTACAAAAGCAGTGTTTCAAACCTGCTCTATCAAAGGAAAGTTTCAACTATGTGAATTGAACACACACATCACAAAGCAGTTTCTAAGAATGCTTCTGTCTAGTTTTTAAGAGAAGATAATCCTTTTTCCACCATAGGCAACAAATCTCTCCAAATGAACACTACCAGGTTCTACAAAAAGTGTGTTTCAACACTGCTCTAACAAAAGTAAGGATCAAGACTTTGAGTTAAATGCACACATCACAAAGCAGTTTCTGAGAAAGCTTCTGTCTAGTTTTTATTTGAAGGTACTTCCTTTTCCTTCTTAGACCTCAAATCGCTCCAAATATCCACTTGCAGATACTACAAAAAGACTGTTTCAAAACCGCTCTCTCAAAAGGAAGGTTCAACTCTGTGAGTTGAATGCACATATTACAAAGCAGTTCCTGAGAATGCTTCTGTCTATTTTTTAGGTGAAGATATCACTTTTTCCAACATAGGCCACAAAGCATTTGAAATGAACACTTGCAGATTCCACAAAATGTTTGTTTCAACACTGCTGTATCAAAAGAAAGGTTCAACAATGTGAATTGAACAAACCCATCACAAAGGAGTTTCTGAGAATGCTTCTGTCTAGTTTTTATGTGAAGATATTTCTTTTTCCAACATAGGCAGCAAAGCACTCCAAAGAACACATGTAGATTATACAAAAAGTGTGTTTCAACACTGCTCTACATAAAGGAAGTTTCAAGTCTGTGACTTAAATGCACACATCACAAAGCAGTTTCTGAGAATGCTTCTGTCTAGTTTGTATCTGAAGTTATTTCCTTTTCCATCATAGGCCTCAAATCGCTCCACATATCCACTTCCAAATACTACCAAAAGACTGTTTCAAAACTTCTCTCTCAAAAGGAAGGTTCAACTCTGTGAGTTGAATGCACACATCACAAGGCAGTTTCTGAAAATGCTTCCGTCTAGTTTTTTTATTTGAAGGTATTTCCTTTTGCTTCTTCGGCCTCAAATCACTGCAAATATCCACTTGCAGATACTACAAAAAGACTGTTTCAAAACCGCTCTCTCAAAAGGAAGGTTCAACTCTGTGAGTTGAATGCACATGTTACAAAGCAGTTTCTGAGAATGCTTCTGTCTATTTTTCAGGTGAAGATATCACTTTTTACAACATACGCACAAAAGAACTCGAAATGGACACTTGCAGATTCTCCAAAAAGTATGTTTCAACACTGCTCTATCAAAAGAAAGGTTCAACGATGTGAATTGAACACACACTTCACACAGGAGTTTCAGAGAATGCTTCTGTCTAGTTTTTAAGTGAAGATATTCCTTTTTCCCACATAGGCAACAAAGTGCTCCAAACGAATACTTGTGGATTCTACAAAAAGTGTGTTTCAACACTGCTCTATCAAAAGAAAGTTTCAAGTCTGTGAGTTGAACGCACACATCACAAAGAATCTTCTGAGAATGCTTGGGTCTACTTTTTATGTGAAGATACCCGTTTCCAACGAATAACTCAAAGAGTTCCAAATATACACAATCAGATACTACAAAAGGAGTGTTTCATTCCTGCTCTGTCAAAAGACAGTTTCAAATCTGTTAGTTGAATGCACACATCTCAATGAAGATCCTGAGAAGGCTTCTGCCTAGTTTTTTGTGAAGATATGCCCTTTTCCACCATAGGCTTCAAAGCGCTCCAAATGAAAACTTGCAGGACCTACCAAAAGACTGATTCGAAACTGCTCTATCAAAAGAACGGTTCCACTCTGTTAGGTGAACGCACACATCAGAAGACGTTTCTGAGAATGCTTCTGTTTAGTTTGTATGTGAAGATATTTCCTTTTCCATCATAGTACTCGAATCGCTCCAAATATCCACTGGCAGACATTACAAAAAGACTGTTTCAAAACTGCTCTCTCAAAAGGAAGGTTCAACTACTGTGAGTTGAGTGCACACATAACAATGGAGTTTCTGAGAATACTTCTGTCTACTTTGTATATGAAGGTATTTCCTTTTCCACCTAAGGCCTCAAGTCACTACAAATATCCACTTGCAGATACTACAAAAAGACTGTTTCAAAACCTCCCTCTCAACAGGAAAGTTCAAATCTGTCGGTTAAATGCACACATCACAAAGCAGTTTCTGAGAATGCTTCTGTCTAGTTTGTATGTGAAGATATTTCCTTTTCCATCATAGGCTTCAAATCGCTCCAAATATCCACTTGCAGATACTACAAAAGACCGTTTCAACACTGCTCTCTCAAAAGGAAGGTTCAACTCTGTGGGTTGAATGCACACATCACAAAGCAGTTTCTGAGAATGCTTCTGTCTAGTTTGTATGTGAAGATATTTCCTTTTCCATCATAGGCCTCAAATCGCTCCAAATATCCACTTGAAGATACTACAAAAAGACTGTTTCAACACTGCTCTCTCAAATGGAAGGTTCAACTCTGTGAGTTGAATGCACACATCACAAAGCAGTTTCTGAGAATGCTTCTGTCTAGTTTGTATGTGAAGATATGCCTTTTACAACGTATTCCTCAAGGAGCTCCCAATATCCACAAGCAGATTCTACAGAAGCAGTGTTTCAAACCTGCTCTGTCAAAGGAAAGTCTCAACTCTGTGAATTGAACACACACATCACAAAGCAGTTTCTAAGAATGCTTCTGTCTAGTTTTTAAGAGAAGATAATCCTTTTTCCACCATAGGCAACAAATCTCTCCAAATGAACACTACCAGGTTCTACAAAAAGTGTGTTTCAACACTGCTCTAACAAAAGTAAGGATGAAGACTTTGAGTTAAATGCACACATCACAAAGCAGTTTCTGAGAAACCTTCTGTGTAGTTTTTATTTGAAGGTACTTCCTTTTCCTTCTTAGACCTCAAATCGCTCCAAATATCCACTTGCAGATACTACAAAAAGACTGTTTCAAAACCGCTCTCTCAAAAGGAAGGTTCAACTCTGTGAGTTGAATGCACATATTACAAAGCAGTTCCTGAGAATGCTTCTGTCTATTTTTTAGGTGAAGATATCACTTTTTCCAACATAGGCCACAAAGCATTTGAAATGAACACTTGCAGATTCTACAAAATGTTTGTTTCAACACTGCTGTATCAAAAGAAAGGTTCAACAATGTGAATTGAACACACCCATCACAAAGGAGTTTCTGAGAATGCTTCTGTCTAGTTTTTATGTGAAGATATTTCTTTTTCCAACATAGGCAACAAAGCACTCCAAAGAACACTTGTAGATTATACAAAAAGTGTGTTTCAACACTGCTCTACCTAAAGGAAGTTTCAAGTCTGTGACTTAAATGCACACATCACAAAGCAGTTTCTGACAATGCTTCTGTCTACTTTGTATGTGAAGGTATTTCATTTTCCACCATACTCCACAAATCGCTCCAAATATCCACTTGCAAATACTACAAAAAGACTGTTTCAAAACTTCTCTCTCAAAAGGAAGGTTCAACTCTGTGAGTTGAATGCACACATCACAAGGCAGTTTCTGAAAATGCTTCCGTCTAGTTTTTTATTTGAAGGTGTTTCCTTTTCCTTCTTCGGCCTCAAATCACTGCAAATATCCACTTGCAGATACTACAAAAAGACTGTTTCAAAACCGCTCTCTCAAAAGGAAGGTTCAACACTGTGAGTTGAATGCACATGTTACAAAGCAGTTTCTGGAATGCTTCTGTCTATTTTTCAGGTGAAGATATCACTTTTTCCAACATACGCACAAAAGAACTCGAAATGGACACTTGCAGATTCTACAAAAAGTATGTTTCAACACTGCTCTATCAAAAGAAAGGTTCAACGATGTGAGTTGAACACACACTTCACAGAGGAGTTTCAGAGAATGCTTCTGTCTAGTTTTTAAGTGAAGATATTCCTTTTTCCCACATAGGCAACAAAGCGCTCCAAAGGAATACTTGTGGATTCTACAAAAAGTGTGTTTCAACACTGCTCTATCAAAAGAAAGTTTCAAGTCTGTGAGTTGAACGCACACATCACAAAGAACCTTCTGAGAATGCTTGGGTCTACTTTTTATGTGAAGATACCCGTTTCCAACGAATAACTCAAAGAGTTCCAAATATACACAATCAGATACTACAAAAGGAGTGTTTCATTCCTGCTCTGTCAAAAGACAGTTTCAACTCTGTTAGTTGAATGCACACATCTCAATGAAGTTCCTGAGAAGGCTTCTGCCTAGTTTTTTGTGAAGATAGTCCCTTTTCCACCATGGGCTTCAAAGCGCTCCAAATGAAAACTTGCAGGTCCTACCAAAAGACTGATTCAAAACTGCTCTATCAAAAGAACGGTTCCACTCTGTTAGGTGAATGCACACATCACAAGAAGTTTCTGAGAATGCTTCTGTTTAGTTTGTATGTGAAGATATTTCCTTTTCCATCATACTACACGAATCGCTCCAAATATCCACCTGCAGATGTTACAAAAAAACTGTTTCAAAACGGCTCTCTCAAAAGGAAGGTTCAACTCTGTGAGTTGAGTGCACACATCACAATGGAGTTTCTGAGAATACTTCTGTCTACTTTGTATGTGAAGGTATTTCCTTTTCCACCTGAGGCCCCAAGTCACTACAAATATCCACTTGCAGATACTACAAAAAGACTGTTTCAAAACCTCCCTCTCCAAAGGAAAGTTCAAATCTGTCGGTTGAATGCACACATCACAAAGCAGTTTCTGAGAATGCTTCTGTCTAGTTTGTATGTGAAGATATTTCCTTTTCCATCATAGGCTTCAAATCGCTCCAAATATCCACTTGCAGATACTACAAAAGACCGTTTCAACACTGCTCTCTCAAAAGGAAGGTTCAACTCTGTGGGTTGAATGCACACATCACAAAGCAGTTTCTGAGAATGCTTCTGTCTAGTTTGTATGTGAAGATATTTCCTTTTCCATCATAGGCCTCAAATCGCTCCAAATATCCAATTGAAGATACTACAAAAAGATCGTTTCAACACTGCTCTCTCAAATGGAAGGTTCAACTCTGTGAGTTGAATGCACACATCACAAAGCAGTTTCTCAGAATGCTTCTGTTTAGTTTGTATGTGAGGATATGCCTTTTACAATGTATTCCTCAAGGAGCTCCCAATATCCACAAGCAGATTCTACAGAAGCAGTGTTTCAAACCTGCTCTGTCAAAGGAAAGTTTCAACTCTGTGAATTGAACACACACATCACAAAGCAGTTTCTAAGAATGCTTCTGTCTAGTTTTTAAGAGAAGATAATCCTTTTTCCACCATAGGCAACAAATCTCTCCAAATGAACACTACCAGGTTCTACAAAAAGTGTGTTTCAACACTGCTCTAACAAAAGTAAGGATCAAGACTTTGAGTTAAATGCACACATCACAAAGCAGTTTCTGAGAAAGCTTCTGTCTAGTTTTTATTTGAAGGTATTTCCTTTTACTTCTTAGACCTCAAATCGCTCCAAATATCCACTTGCAGATACTACAAAAAGACTGTTTCAAAACCGCTCTCTCAAAAGAAAGGTTCACCTCTGTGAGTTGAATGCACATATTACAAAGCAGTTCCTGAGAATGCTTCTGTCTATTTTTTAGGTGAAGATATCACTTTTTCCAACATAGGCTGCAAAGCATTTGAAATGAACCCTTGCAGATTCTACAAAATGTTTGTTTCAACACTGCTGTATCAAAAGAAAGGTTCAACAATGTGAATTGAACAAACCCATCACAAAGGAGTTTCTGAGAATGCTTCTGTCTAGTTTTTATGTGAAGATATTTCTTTTTCCAACATAGGCAACAAAGCACTCCAAAGAACACTTGTAGATTATACAAAAAGTGTGTTTCAACACTGCTCTACCTAAAGGAAGTTTCAAGTCTGTGACTTAAATGCACACATCACAAAGCAGTTTCTGAGAATGCTTCTGTCTACTTTGTATGTGAAGGTATTTCATTTTCCACCATACTCCACAAATCGCTCCAAATATCCACTTGCAAATACTACAAAAAGACTGTTTCAAAACTTCTCTCTCAAAAGGAAGGTTCAACTCTGTGAGTTGAATGCACACATCACAAGGCAGTTTCTGAAAATGCTTCCGTCTAGTTTTTTATTTGAAGGTATTTCCTTTTCCTTCTTCGGCCTCAAATCACTGCAAATATCCACTTGCAGATACTACAAAAAGACTGTTTCAAAACCGCTCTCTCAAAAGGAAGGTTCAACACTGTGAGTTGAATGCATATGTTACAAAGCAGTTTCTGGAATGCTTCTGTCTATTTTTCAGGTGAAGATATCACTTTTTCCAACATACGCACAAAAGAACTCGAAATGGACACTTGCAGATTCTACAAAAAGTATGTTTCAACACTGCTCTATCAAAAGAAAGGTTCAACGATGTGAAATGAACACACACTTCACAGAGGAGTTTCAGAGAATACTTCTGTCTAGTTTTTAAGTGAAGATATTCCTTTTTCCCACATAGGCAACAAAGCGCTCCAAATGAATACTTGTGGATTCTACAAAAAGTGTGTTTCAACACTGCTCTATCAAAAGAAAGTTTCAAGTCTGTGAGTTGAACGCACACATCACAAAGAACCTTCTGAGAATGCTTGGGTCTACTTTTTATGTGAAGATACCCGTTTCCAACGAATAACTCAAAGAGTTCCAAATATACACAATCAGATACTACGAAAGGAGTGTTTCATTCCTGCTCTGTCAAAAGACAGTTTCAACTCTGTTAGTTGAATGCACACATCTCAATGAAGTTCCTGAGAAGGCTTCTGCCTAGTTTTTTGTGAAGATGATAGTCCCTTTTCCACCATGGGCTTCAAAGCGCTCCAAATGAAAACTTGCAGGTCCTACCAAAAGACAGATTCAAAACTGCTCTATCAAAAGAACGGTTCCACTCTGTTAGGTGAATGCACACATCACAAGAAGTTTCTGAGAATGCTTCTGTTTAGTTTGTATGTGAAGATATTTCCTTTTCCATCATACTACACGATTCGCTCCAAATATCCACCTGCAGACGTTACAAAAAGACTGTTTCAAAACTGCTCTCTCAAAAGGAAGGTTCAACTCTGTGAGTTCAGTGCACACATCACAATGGAGTTTCTGAGAATACTTCTGTCTACTTTGTATGTGAAGGTATTTCCTTTTCCACCTGAGGCCCCAAGTCACTACAAATATCCACTTGCAGATACTACAAAAAGACTGTTTCAAAACCTCCCTCTCCAAAGGAAAGTTCAAATCTGTCGGTTGAATGCACACATCACAAAGCAGTTTCTGAGAATGCTTCTGTCTAGTTTGTATGTGAAGATATTTCCTTTTCCATCATAGGCCTCAAATCGCTCCAAATATCCACTTGCAGATACTTCAAAAGACCGTTTCAACACTGCTCTCTCAAAAGGAAGGTTCAACTCTGTGGGTTGAATGCACACATCACAAAGCAGTTTCTGAGAATGCTTCTGTCTAGTTTGTATGTGAAGATATTTGCTTTTCCATCATAGGCCTTAAATCGCTCCAAATATCCACTTGCAGATACTACAAAAATACCGTTTCAACACTGCTCTCTCCAATGGAAGGTTCAACTCTGTGAGTTGAATGCACACATCACAAAGCAGTTTCTGAGAATGCTTCTGTCTAGTTTGTATGTGAAGATATGCCTTTTACAACGTATTCCTCAAAGAGCTCCCAATATCCACAAGCAGATTCTACAAAAGCAGTGTTTCAAAACTGCTCTATCAAAGGAAATTTTCAACTCTGTGAATTGAACACACACATCACAAAGCAGTTTCTAAGAATGCTTCTGTCTAGTTTTTAAGAGAAGATAATCCTTTTTCCACCATAGGCAACAAATCTCTCCAAATGAACACTACCAGGTTCTACAAAAAGTGTGTTTCAACACTGCTCTAACAAGAGTAAGGATCAAGACTTTGAGTTAAATGCACACATCACAAAGCTGTTTCTGAGAAAGCTTCTGTCTAGTTTTTATTTGAAGGTACTTCCTTTTCCTTCTTAGACCTCAAATCGCTCCAAATATCCACTTGCAGATACTACAAAAAGACTGTTTCAAAACCGCTCTCTCAAAAGGAAGGTTCAACTCTGTGAGTTGAATGCACATATTACAAAGCAGTTCCTGAGAATGCTTCTGTCTATTTTTTAGGTGAAGATATCACTTTTTCCAACATAGGCCGCAAAGCATTTGAAATGAACCCTTGCAGATTCTACAAAATGTTTGTTTCAACACTGCTGTATCAAAAGAAAGGTTCAACAATGTGAATTGAACAAACCCATTACAAAGGAGTTTCTGAGAATGCTTCTGTCTAGTTTTTATGTGAAGATAGTTCTTTTTCCAACATAGGCAACAAAGCACTCCAAAGAACACTTGTAGATTATACAAAAACTGTGTTTCAACACTGCTCTACCTAAAGGAAGTTTCAAGTCTGTGACTTAAATGCACACATCACAAAGCAGTTTCTGAGAATGCTTCTGTCTAGTTTGTATGTGAAGATATTTCATTTTCCACCATACTCCACAAATCGCTCCAAATATCCACTTGCAAATACTACAAAAAGACTGTTTCAAAACTTCTCTCTCAAAAGGAAGGTTCAACTCTGTGAGTTGAATGCAAACATCACAAAGCAGTTTCTGAGAATGCTTCCGTCTAGTTTTTTATTTGAAGGTATTTCCTTTTCCTTCTTCGGCCTCAAATCACTGCAAATATCCACTTGCAGATACTACAAAAAGACTGTTTCAAAACCGCTCTCTCAAAAGGAAGGTTCAACACTGTGAGTTGAATGCACATGTTACAAAGCAGTTTCTGGAATGCTTCTGTCTATTTTTCAGGTGAAGAAATCACTTTTTCCAACATACGCACAAAAGAACTCGAAATGGACACTTGCAGATTCTACAAAAAGTATGTTTCAACACTGCTCCATCAAAAGAAAGGTTCAACGATGTGAATTGAACACACACTTCACAGAGGAGTTTCAGAGAATGCTTCTGTCTAGTTTTTAAGTGAAGATATTCCTTTTTCCCACATAGGCAACAAAGCGCTCCAAATGAATACTTGTGGATTCTACAAAAAGTGTGTTTCAACACTGCTCTATCAAAAGAAAGTTTCAAGTCTGTGAGTTGAACGCACACATCACAAAGGACCTTCTGAGAATGCTTGGGTCTACTTTTCATGTGAAGATACCCGTTTCCAACGAATAACTCAAAGAGTTCCAAATATACACAATCAGATACTACAAAAGCAGTGTTTCATTCCTCCTCTGACAAAAGACAGTTTCAACTCTGTTAGTTGAATGCACACATCTCAATGAAGTTCGTGAGAAGGCTTCTGCCTAGTTTTTTGTGAAGATAGTCCCTTTTCCACCATGGGCTTCAAAGCGCTCCAAATGAAAACTTGCAGGTCCTACCAAAAGACTGATTCAAAACTGCTCTATCAAAAGAACGGTTCCACTCTGTTAGGTGAATGCACACATCACAAGAAGTTTCTGAGAATGCTTCTGTTTAGTTTGTATGTGAAGATATTTCCTTTTCCATCATAGTACTCGAATCGCTCCAAATATCCACCTGCAGACATTACAAAAAGACTGTTTCAAAACTGCTCTCTCAAAAGGAAGGTTCAACTCTGTGAGTTGAGTGCACACATCACAATGGAGTTTCTCAGAATACTTCTTTCTAGTTTGTATGTGAAGGTATTTTCTTTTCCATCTGAGGCCCCAAGTCACTACAAATATCCACTTGTAGATACTACAAAAAGACAGTTTCAAAACCTCCTTCTCAAAAGGAAAGTTCAAATCTGTGAGTTGAATGCACACATCACAAAGCAGTTCCTGAGACTGCTTCTGTCTAGTTTGTATGTGAAGATATTTCCTTTTCCATCATAGCCCTCAAATCGCTCCAAATATCCACTTGCAGATACTACAAAAGACCGTTTCAACACTGCTCTCTCAAAAGGAAGGTTCAACTCTGTGGGTTGAATGCACACATCACAAAGCAGTTTCTGAGAATGCTTCTGTCTAGTTTGTATGTGAAGATATTTCCTTTTCCATCATAGGCCTCAAATCGCTCCAAATATCCAATTGAAGATACTACAAAAAGACCGTTTCAACACTGCTCTCTCAAATGGAAGGTTCAACTCTGTGAGTTGAATGCGCACATCACAAAGCAGTTTCTGAGAATGCTTCTGTCTAGTTTGTATGTGAAGATATGCCTTTTACAACGTATTCCTCAAGGAGCTCCCAATATCCACAAGCAGATTCTACAGAAGCAGTGTTTCAAACCTGCTCTGTCAAAGGAAAGTTTCAACTCTGTGAATTGAACACACACATCACAAAGCAGTTTCTAAGAATGCTTCTGTCTAGTTTTTAAGAGAAGATAATCCTTTTTCCACCATAGGCAACAAATCTCTCCAAATGAACACTACCAGGTTCTACAAAAATGTGTTTCAACACTGCTCTAACAAAAGTAAGGATCAAGACTTTGAGTTAAATGCACACATCACAAAGCAGTTTCTGAGAAAGCTTCTGTGTAGTTTTTATTTGAAGGTACTTCCTTTTCCTTCTTAGACATCAAATCGCTCCAAATATCCACTTGCAGATACTACAAAAAGACTGTTTCAAAACCGCTCTCTCAAAAGGAAGGTTCAACTCTGTGAGTTGAATGCACATATTACAAAGCAGTTCCTGAGAATGCTTCTGTCTATTTTTTAGGTGAACATATCACTTTTTCCAACAGAGGCCACAAAGCATTTGAAATGAACCCTTGCAGATTCTACAAAATGTTTGTTTCAACACTGCTGTATCAAAAGAAAGGTTCAACAATGTGAATTGAACACACCCATCACAAAGGAGTTTCTGAGAATGCTTCTGTCTAGTTTTTATGTGAAGATATTTCTTTTTCCAACATAGGCAACAAAGCACTCCAAAGAACACTTGTAGATTATACAAAAAGTGTGTTTCAACACTGCTCTACCTAAAGGAAGTTTCAAGTCTGTGACTTAAATGCACACATCACAAAGCAGTTTCTGAGAATGCTTCTGTCTACTTTGTATGTGAAGGTATTTCATTTTCCACCATACTCCACAAATCGCTCCAAATATCCACTTGCAAATACTACAAAAAGACTGTTTCAAAACTTCTCTCTCAAAAGGAAGGTTCAACTCTGTGAGTTGAATGCACACATCACAAGGCAGTTTCTGAAAATGCTTCCGTCTAGTTTTTTATTTGAAGGTATTTCCTTTTCCTTCTTCGGCCTCAAATCACTGCAAATATCCACTTGCAGATACTACAAAAAGACTGTTTCAAAACCGCTCTCTCAAAAGGAAGGTTCAACACTGTGAGTTGAATGCACATGTTACAAAGCAGTTTCTGGAATGCTTCTGTCTATTTTTCAGGTGAAGATATCACTTTTTCCAGCATACGCACAAAAGAACTCGAAATGGACACTTGCAGATTCTACAAAAAGTATGTTTCAACACTGCTCTATCAAAAGAAAGGTTCAACGATGTGAATTGAACACACACTTCACAGAGGAGTTTCAGAGAATGCTTCTGTCTAGTTTTTAAGTGAAGATATTCCTTTTTCCCACATAGGCAACAAAGCGCTCCAAAGGAATACTTGTGGATTCTACAAAAAGTGTGTTTCAACACTGCTCTATCAAAAGAAAGTTTCAAGTCTGTGAGTTGAACGCACACATCACAAAGAACCTTCTGAGAATGCTTGGGTCTACTTTTTATGTGAAGATACCCGTTTCCAACGAATAACTCAAAGAGTTCCAAATATACACAATCAGATACTACAAAAGGAGTGTTTCATTCCTCCTCTGTCAAAAGACAGTTTCAACTCTGTTAGTTGAATGCACACATCTCAATGAAGTTCCTGAGAAGGCTTCTGCCTAGTTTTTTGTGAAGATAGTCCCTTTTCCACCATGGGCTTCAAAGCGCTCCAAATGAAAACTTGCAGGTCCTACCAAAAGACTGATTCAAAACGGCTCTATCAAAAGAACGGTTCCACTCTGTTAGGTGAACGCACACATCACAAGAAGTTTCTGAGAATGCTTCTGTTTAGTTTGTATGTGAAGATATTTCCTTTTCCATCATAGTACTCGAATCGCTCCAAATATCCACCTGCAGCCATTACAAAAAGACTGTTTCAAAACTGCTCTCTCAAAAGGAAGGTTCAACTCTGTGAGTTGAGTGCACACATCACAATGGAGTTTCTGAGAATACTTCTGTCTAGTTTGTATGTGAAGGTATTTCCTTTTCCATCTGAGGCCCCAAGTCACTACAAATATCCACTTGCAGATACTACAAAAAGACTGTTTCAAAACCTCCCTCTCAAAAGGAAAGTTCAAATCTCTCGGTTGAACGCACACATCACAAAGCAGTTTCTGAGAATGCTTCTGTCTAGTTTGTATGTGAAGATATTTCCTTTTCCATCCTAGGCCTCAAATCGCTCCAATTATCCACTTGCAGATTCTAGAAAAGACCGTTTCAACACTGCTCCCTCAAAAGGAAGGTTCAACTCTGTGGGTTGAATGCACACATCACGAAGCAGTTTCTGAGAATGCTTCTGTCTAGTTTGTATGTGAAGATATTTCCTTTTCCATCATAGGCCTCAAATCGCTCCAAATATCCACTTGAAGATACTACAAAAAGACTGTTTCAACACTGCTCTCTCAAATGGAAGGTTCAACTCTGTGAGTTGAATGCACACATCACAAAGCAGTTTCTGAGAATGCTTCTGTCTAGTTTGTATGTGAAGATATGCCTTTTACAACGTATTCCTCAAGGAGCTCCCAATATCCACAAGCAGATTCTACAAAAGCAGTGTTTCAAACCTGCTCTATCAAAGGAAAGTTTCAACTCTGTGAATTGAACACACACATCACAAAGCAGTTTCTAAGAATGCTTCTGTCTAGTTTTTAAGAGAAGATAATCCTTTTTCCACCATAGGCAACAAATCTCTCCCAATGAACACTACCAGGTTCTACAAAAAGTGTGTTTCAACACTGCTCTAACAAAAGTAAGGATCAAGACTTTGAGTTAAATGCACACATCACAAAGCAGTTTCTGAGAAAGCTTCTGTCTAGTTTTTATTTGAAGGTGCTTCCTTTTCCTTCTTAGACCTCAAATCGCTCCAAATATCCACTTGCAGATACTACAAAAAGACTCTTTCAAAACCGCTCTCTCAAAAGGAAGGTTCAACTCTGTGAGTTGAATGCACACATCACAAAGCAGTTCCTGAGAATGCTTCTGCCTATTTTTTAGGTGAAGGTATCACTTTTTCCAACATAGGCCACAAAGCATTTGAAATGAGCACTTGCAGATTCTACAAAATGTTTGTTTCAACACTGCTGTATCAAAAGAAAGGTTCAACAATGTGAATTGAACAAACCCATCACAAAGGAGTTTCTGAGAATGCTTCTGTCTAGTTTTTATGTGAAGATATTTCTTTTTCCAACATAGGCAACAAAGCACTCCAAAGAACACTTGTAGATTATACAAAAAGTGTGTTTCAACACTGCTCTACCTAAAGGAAGTTTCAAGTCTGTGACTTAAATGCACACATCACAAAGCAGTTTCTGAGAATGCTTCTGTCTAGTTTGTATGTGGAGATATTTCATTTTCCACCATACTCCACAAATCGCTCCAAATATCCACTTGCAAATACTACAAAAAGACTGTTTCAAAACTTCTCTCTCAAAAGGAAGGTTCAACTCTGTGAGTTGAATGCACACATCACAAGGAAGTTTCTGAAAATGCTTCCGTCTAGTTTTTTATTTGAAGGTATTTCCTTTTCCTTCTTCGGCCTCAAATCACTGCAAATATCCACTTGCAGATACTACAAAAAGACTGTTTCAAAACCGCTCTCTCAAAAGGAAGGTTCAACACTGTGAGTTGAATGCACATGTTACAAAGCAGTTTCTGGAATGCTTCTGTCTATTTTTCAGGTGAAGATATCACTTTTTTCAACATACGCACAAAAGAACTCGAAATGGACACTTGCAGATTCTACAAAAAGTATGTTTCAACACTGCTCTATCAAAAGAAAGGTTCAACGATGTGAATTGAACACACACTTCACAGAGGAGTTTCAGAGAATGCTTCTGTCTAGTTTTTAAGTGAAGATATTCCTTTTTCCCACGTAGGCAACAAAGCGCTCCAAATGAATACTTGTGGATTCTACAAAAAGTGTGTTTCAACACTGCTCTATCAAAAGAAAGTTTCAAGTCTGTGAGTTGAACGCACACATCACAAAGAACCTTCTGAGAATGCTTGGGTCTACTTTTTATGTGAAGAAACACGTTCCCAACGAATAACTCAAAGAGTTCCAAATATACACAATCAGATACTACAAAAGGAGTGTTTCATTCCTGCTCTGTCAAAAGACAGTTTCAACTCTGTTACTTGAATGCACACATCTCAATGAAGATCCTGAGAAGGCTTCTGCCTAGTTTTTTGTGAAGATATTCCTTTTTCCACCATAGGCTTCAAAGCGCTCCAAATGAAAACTTGCAGGACCTACCAAAAGACTGATTCGAAACTGCTCTATCAAAAGAACGGTTCCACTCTGTTAGGTGAAAGCACACATCAGAAGACGTTTCTGAGAATGCTTCCGTTTAGTTTGTATGTGAAGATATTTCCTTTTCCATCATAGTACTCGAATCGCTCCAAATATCCACTTGCAGACATTACAAAAAGACTGTTTCAAAACTGCTCTCTCAAAAGGAAGGTTCAACTCTGTGAGTTGAGTGCACACATCACAATGGAGTCTGTGAGAATACTTCTGTCTAGTTTGTATGTGAAGGTATTTCCTTTTCCATCCGAGGCCCCAAGTCACTACAAATATCCACTTGCAGATACTACAAACAGACTGTTTCAAAACCTCCCTCTCAAAAGGAAAGTTCAAATCTGTGAGTTGAATGCACACATCACAAAGCAGTTCCTCAGACTGCTTCTGTCTAGTTTGTATGTGAAGATATTTCCTTTTCCATCATAGGCCTCAAATCGCTCCAAATATCCACTTGCAGATACTACAAAAGACCGTTTCAACACTGCTCTCTCAAAAGGAAGGTTCAACTCTGTGGGTTGAATGCACACATCACAAAGCAGTTTCTGAGAATGCTTCTGTCTAGTTTGTATGTGAAGATATTTCCTTTTCCATCATAGGCCTCAAATCGCTCCAAATATCCAATTGAAGATACTACAAAAAGACCGTTTCAACACTGCTCTCTCAAATGGAAGGTTCAACTCTGTGAGTTGAATGCACACATCACAAAGCAGTTTCTGAGAATGCTTCTGTCTAGTTTGTATGTGAAGATATGCCTTTTACAACGTATTCCTCAAGGAGCTCCCAATATCCACAAGCAGATTCTACAGAAGCAGTGTTTCAAACCTGCTCTGTCAAAGGAAAGTTTCAACTCTGTGAATTGAACACACACATCACAAAGCAGTTTCTAAGAATGCTTCTGTCTAGTTTTTAAGAGAAGATAATCCTTTTTCCACCATAGGCAACAAATCTCTCCAAATGAACACTACCAGGTTCTACAAAAAGTGTGTTTCAACACTGCTCTAACAAAAGTAAGGATCAAGACTTTGAGTTAAATGCACACATCACAAAGCAGTTTCTGAGAAAGCTTCTGTCTAGTTTTTATTTGAAGGTACTTCCTTTTCCTTCTTAGACCTCAAATCGCTCCAAATATCCACTTGCAGATACTACAAAAAGACTGTTTCAAAACCGCTCTCTCAAAAGGAAGGTTCAACTCTGTGAGTTGAATGCACATATTACAAAGCAGTTCCTGAGAATGCTTCTGTCTATTTTTTAGGTGAAGATATCACTTTTTCCAACATAGGCCACAAAGCATTTGAAATGAACACTTGCAGATTCTACAAAATGTTTGTTTCAACCCTGCTGTATCAAAAGAAAGGTTCAACAATGTGAATTGAACAAACCCATCACAAAGGAGTTTCTGAGAATGCTTCTGTCTAGTTTTTATGTGAAGATACTTCTTTTTCCAACATAGGCAACAAAGCACTCCAAAGAACACTTGTAGATTATACAAAAAGTGTGTTTCAACACTGCTCTATCTAAAGGAAGTTTCAAGTCCGTGAGTTAAATGCACACATCACAAAGCAGTTTCTGAGAATGCTTCTGTCTAGTTTGTATGTGAAGATATTTCATTTTCCACCATACTCCACAAATCGCTCCAAATACCCACTTGCAAATACTACAAAAAGACTGTTTCAAAACTTCTCTCTCAAAAGGAAGGTTCAACTCTGTGAGTTGAATGCACACATCACAAGGCAGTTTCTGAAAATGCTTCCGTCTAGTTTTTTATTTGAAGGTATTTCCTTTTCCTTCTTCGGCCTCAAATCACTGCAAATATCCACTTGCAGATACTACAAAAAGACTGTTTCAAAACCGCTCTCTCAAAAGGAAGGTTCAACACTGTGAGTTGAATGCACATGTTACAAAGCAGTTTCTGGAATGCTTCTGTCTATTTTTCAGGTGAAGATATCACTTTTTCCAACATACGCACAAAAGAACTCGAAATGGACACTTGCAGATTCTACAAAAAGTATGTTTCAACACTGCTCTATCAAAAGAAAGGTTCAACGATGTGAATTGAACACACACTTCACAGAGGAGTTTCAGAGAATGCTTGTTTCTAGTTTTTAAGTGAAGATATTACTTTTTCCCACATAGGCAACAAAGCGCTCCAAATGAATACTTGTGGATTCTACAAAAAGTGTGTTTCAACACTGCTCTATCAAAAGAAAGTTTCAAGTCTGTGAGTTGAACGCACACATCACAAAGAACCTTCTGAGAATGCTTGGGTCTACTTTTTATGTGAAGATACCCGTTTCCAACGAATAACTCAAAGAGTTCCAAATATACACAATCAGATACTACAAAAGGTGTGTTTAACTCCTGCTCTGTCTAAAGACAGTTTCAACTCTGTTAGTTGAATGCACACATCTCAATGAAGTTCCTGAGAAGGCTTTGGTCTAGGTTTTACATGAATATATTTACTTTTCCACCTTAGGCTTCAAAGAGCTCCAAATGAACACATGCAGATCTTACAAAAAGACTGTTTCAAAACTGGTCTAACAAAAAAACGGTTCCACTCTGTGACGTGAGTGCACACATCAGAAAGCAGTTTCTGGGAATGCTTCTGTTTAGTTTGTATGTGAAGATATTTCCTTTTCCATCATAGTACTCGAATCGCTCCAAATATCCACCTGCAGACATTACAAAAAGACTGTTTCAAAACTGCTCTCTCAGAAGGAAGGTTCAACTCTGTGAGTTGAGTGCACACATCACAATGGAGTTTCTGAGAATACTTCTGTCTACTTTGTATATGAAGGTATTTCCTTTTCCACCTGAGGCCCCAAGTCACTACAAATATCCACTTGCAGATACTACAAAAAGACTGTTTCAAAACCTCCCTCTCAACAGGAAAGTTCAAATCTGTCGGTTAAATGCACACATCACAAAGCAGTTTCTGAGAATGCTTCTGTCTAGTTTGTATGTGAAGATATTTCCTTTTCCATCATAGGCCTCAAATCGCTCCAAATATCCACTTGCAGATACTACAAAAGACCGTTTCAACACTGCTCTCTCAAAAGGAAGGTTCAACTCTGTGGGTTGAATGCACACATCACAAAGCAGTTTCTGAGAATGTTTCTGTCTAGTTTGTATGTGAAGATATTTCCTTTTCCATCATAGGCCTCAAATCGCTCCAAATATCCACTTGCAGATACTACAAAAAGACTGTTTCAACACTGCTCTCTCAAATGGAAGGTTCAACTCTGTGAGTTGAATGCACACATCACAAAGCAGTTTCTGAGAATGCTTCTGTCTAGTTTGTATGTGAAGATATGCCTTTTACAACGTATTCCTCAAAGAGCTCCCACTATCCACAAGCAGATTCTACAAAAGCAGTGTTTCAAACCTGCTCTATCAAAGGAAAGTTTCAACTCTGTGAATTGAACACACACATCACAAAGCAGTTTCTAAGAATGCTTCTCTCTAGTTTTTAAGAGAAGATAATCCTTTTTCCACCATAGGCAAGAAATCTCTCCAAATGAACACTAGCAGGTTCTACAAAAAGTGTGTTTCAACACTGCTCTATCAAAAGAAAGGATCAAGACTTTGAGTTAAATGCACACATCACAAAGCAGTTTCTGAGAAAGCTTCTGTCTAGTTTTTATTTGAAGGTACTTCCTTTTCCTTCTTAGACCTCAAATCGCTCCAAATATCCACTTGCAGATACTACAAAAAGACTGTTTCAAAACCGCTCTCTCAAAAGGAAGGTTCAACTCTGTGAGTTGAATGCACATATTACAAAGCAGTTCCTGAGAATGCTTCTGTCTATTTTTTAGGTGAAGATATCACTTTTTCCAACATAGGCCGCAAAGCATTTGAAATGAACCCTTGCAGATTCTACAAAATGTTTGTTTCAACACTGCTGTATCAAAAGAAAGGTTCAACAATGTGAATTGAACAAACCCATTACAAAGGAGTTTCTGAGAATGCTTCTGTCTAGTTTTTATGTGAAGATATTTCTTTTTCCAACATAGGCAACAAAGCACTCCAAAGAACACTTTTAGATTATACAAAAAGTGTGTTTCAACACTGCTCTACCTAAAGCAAGTTTCAAGTCTGTGAGTTAAATGCACACATCACAAAGCAGTTTCTGAGAATGCTTCTGTCTAGTTTGTATGTGAAGATATTTCATTTTCCACCATACTCCACAAATCGCTCCAAATATCCACTTGCAAATACTACAAAAAGACTGTTTCAAAAGTTCTCTCTCAAAAGGAAGGTTCAACTCTGTGAGTTGAATGCACACATCACAAGGCAGTTTCTGAAAATGCTTCCGTCTAGTTTTTTATTTGAAGGTATTTCCTTTTCCTTCTTCGGCCTCAAATCACTGCAAATATCCACTTGCAGATACTACAAAAAGACTGTTTCAAAACCGCTCTCTCAAAAGGAAGGTTCAACACTGTGAGTTGAATGCACATGTTACAAAGCAGTTTCTGGAATGCTTCTGTCTATTTTTCAGGTGAAGATATCACTTTTTCCAGCATACGCACAAAAGAACTCGAAATTTACACTTGCAGATTCTACAAAAATTATGTTTCAACACTGCTCTATCAAAAGAAAGGTTCAACGATGTGAATTGAACACACACTTCACAGAGGAGTTTCAGAGAATGCTTCTGTCTAGTTTTTAAGTGAAGATATTACTTTTTCCCACATAGGCAACAAAGCGCTCCAAATGAATACTTGTGGATTCTACAAAAAGTGTGTTTCAACACTGCTCTATCAAAAGAAAGTTTCAAGTCTGTGAGTTGAACGCACACATCACAAAGGACCTTCTGAGAATGCTTGGGTCTACTTTTTATGTGAAGATACCCGTTTCCAACGAATAACTCAAAGAGTTCCAAATATACACAATCAGATACTACAAAAGGAGTGTTTCATTCCTCCTCTGTCAAAAGACAGTTTCAACTCTGTTGGTTGAATGCACACATCTCAATGAAGTTCCTGAGAAGGCTTCTGCCTAGTTTTTTGTGAAGATAGTCCCTTTTCCACCATGGGCTTCAAAGCGCTCCAAATGAAAACTTGCAGGTCCTACCAAAAGACTGATTCAAAACTGCTCTATCAAAAGAACGGTTCCACTCTGTTAGGTGAACGCACACATCACAAGAAGTTTCTGAGAATGCTTCTGTTTAGTTTGTATGTGAAGATATTTCCTTTTCCATCACAGTACTCGAATCGCTCCAAATATCCACTTGCAGACATTACAAAAAGACTGTTTCAAAACTGCTCTCTCAAAAGGAAGGTTCAACTCTGTGATTTGAGTGCACACATCACAATGGAGTTTCTGAGAATACTTCTTTCTAGTTTGTATGTGAAGGTATTTTTTTTCCATCTGAGGCCCCAAGTCACTACAAATATCCACTTGTAGATACTACAAAAAGACAGTTTCAAAACCTCCTTCTCAAAAGGAAAGTTCAAATCTGTGAGTTGAATGCACACATCACAAAGCAGTTCCTGAGACTGCTTCTGTCAATTTTGTATGTGAAGTTATTTCCTTTTCCATCATAGGCCTCAAATCGCTCCAAATATCCACTTGCAGATACTACAAAAGACCGTTTCAACACTGCTCTCTCAAAAGGAAGGTTCAACTCTGTGGGTTGAATGCACACATCACAAAGCAGTTTCTGAGAATGCTTCTGTCTAGTTTGTATGTGAAGATATTTCCTTTTCCATCATAGGCCTCAAATCGCTCCAAATATCCACTTGAAGATACTACAAAAAGACTGTTTCAACACTGCTCTCTCAAATGGAAGGTTCAACTCTGTGAGTTGAATGCACACATCACAACGGAGTTTCTGAGAATGCTTCTGTCTAGTTTGTATGTGAAGATATGCCTTTTACAACGTATTCCTCAAAGAGCTCCCAATATCCACAAGCAGATTCTACAAAAGCAGTGTTTCAAACCTGCTCTATCAAAGGAAAGTTTCAACTCTGTGAATTGAACACACACATCACAAAGCAGTTTCTAAGAATGCTTCTGTCTAGTTTTTAAGAGAAGATAATCCATTTCCACCATAGGCAACAAATCTCTCCAAATGAACACTACCAGGTTCTACAAAAAGTGTGTTTCAACAATGCTCTATCAAAAGAAAGGATCAAGACTTTGAGTTAAATGCACACATCACAAAGCAGTTTCTGAGAAAGCTTCTGTCTAGTTTTTATTTGAAGGTATTTCCTTTTCCTTCTTAGACCTCAAATCGCTCCAAATATCCACTTGCAGATACTACAAAAAGACTCTTTCAAAACCGCTCTCTCAAAAGGAAGGTTCAACTCTGTGAGTTGAATGCACATATTACAAAGCAGTTCCTGAGAATGCTTCTGTCTATTTTTTAGGTGAAGATATCACTTTTTCCAACATAGGCCACAAAGCATTTGAAATGAACACTTGCAGATTCTACAAAATGTTTGTTTCAACACTGCTGTATCAAAAGCAAGGTTCAACAATGTGAATTGAACACACCCATCACAAAGGAGTTTCTGAGAATGCTTCTGTCTAGTTGTTATGTGAAGATATTTCTTTTTCCATCATAGGCAACAAAGCACTCCAAAGAACACTTGTAGATTATACAAAAAGTGTGTTTCAACACTGCTCTATCTAAAGGAAGTTTCAAGTCCGTGAGTTAAATGCACACATCACAAAGTAGTTTCTGAGAATGCTTCTGTCTAGTTTGTATGTGGAGATATTTCATTTTCCACCATACTCCACAAATCGCTCCAAATATCCACTTGCAAATACTACAAAAAGACTGTTTCAAAACTTCTCTCTCAAAAGGAAGGTTCAACTCTGTGAGTTGAATGCACACATCACAAGGCAGTTTCTGAAAATGCTTCCGTCTAGTTTTTTATTTGAAGGTATTTCCTTTTCCTTCTTCGGCCTCAAATCACTGCAAATATCCACTTGCAGATACTACAAAAAGACTGTTTCAAAACCGCTCTCTCAAAAGGAAGGTTCAACACTGTGAGTTGAATGCACATGTTGCAAAGCAGTTTCTGGAATGCTTCTGTCTATTTTTCAGGTGAAGATATCACTTTTTCCAACATACGCACAAAAGAACTCGAAATGGACACTTGCAGATTCTACAAAAAGTATGTTTCAACACTGCTCTATCAAAAGAAAGGTTCAACGATGTGAATTGAACACACACTTCACAGAGGAGTTTCAGAGAATGCTTCTGTCTAGTTTTTAAGTGAAGATATTCCTTTTTCCCACATAGGCAACAAAGCGCTCCAAATAAATACTTGTGGATTCTACAAAAAGTGTGTTTCAACACTGCTCTATCAAAAGAAAGTTTCAAGTCTGTGAGTTGAACGCACACATCACAAAGAACCTTCTGAGAATGATTGGGTCTACTATTTATGTGAAGATACCTGTTTCCAACGAATAACTCAAAGAGTTCCAAATACACACAATCAGATACTACAAAAGGAGTGTTTCATTCCTGCTCTGTCAAAAGACAGTTTCAACTCTGTTAGTTGAATGCACACATCTCAATGAAGTTCCTGAGAAGGCTTCTGCCTAGTTTTTTGTGAAGATAGTCCCTTTTCCACCATGGGCTTCAAAGCGCTCCAAATGAAAACTTGCAGGTCCTACCAAAAGACTGATTCAAAACTGCTCTATCAAAAGAACGGTTCCACTCTGTTAGGTGAATGCACACATCACAAGAAGTTTCTGAGAATGCTTCTGTTTAGTTTGTATGTGAAGATATTTCCTTTTCCATCATACTACACGAATCGCTCCAAATATCCACCTGCAGACGTTACAAAAAGACTGTTTCAAAACTACTCTCTCAAAAGGAAGGTTCAACTCTGTGAGTTGAGTGCACACATCACAATGGAGTTTCTGAGAATACTTCTGTCTACTTTGTATGTGAAGGTATTTCCTTTTCCACCTGAGGCCCCAAGTCACTACAAATATCCACTTGCAGATACTACAAAAAGACTGTTTCAAAACCTCCCTCTCCAAAGGAAAGTTCAAATCTGTCGGTTGAATGCACACATCACAAAGCAGTTTCTGAGAATGCTTCTGTCTAGTTTGTATGTGAAGATATTTGCTTTTCCATCATAGGCTTCAAATCGCTCCAAATATCCACTTGCAGATACTACAAAAGACCGTTTCAACACTGCTCTCTCAAAAGGAAGGTTCAACTCTGTGGGTTGAATGCACACATCACAAAGCAGTTTCTGAGAATGCTTCTGTCTAGTTTGTATGTGAAGATATTTCCTTTTCCATCATAGGCCTCAAATCGCTCCAAATATCCAATTGAAGATACTACAAAAAGATCGTTTCAACACTGCTCTCTCAAACGGAAGGTTCAACTCTGTGAGTTGAATGCACACATCACAAAGCAGTTTCTGAGAATGCTTCTGTCTAGTTTGTATGTGAAGATATGCCTTTTACAACGTATTCCTCAAGGAGCTCCCAATATCCACAAGCAGATTCTACAGAAGCAGTGTTTCAAACCTGCTCTGTCAAAGGAAAGTTTCAACTCTGTGAATTGAACACACACATCACAAAGCAGTTTCTAAGAATGCTTCTGTCTAGTTTTTAAGAGAAGATAATCCTTTTTCCACCATAGGCAACAAATCTCTCCAAATGAACACTACCAGGTTCTACAAAAAGTGTGTTTCAACACTGCTCTAACAAAAGTAAGGATCAAGACTTTGAGTTAAATGCACACATCACAAAGCAGTTTCTGAGAAAGCTTCTGTCTAGTTTTTATTTGAAGGTACTTCCTTTTCCTTCTTAGACCTCAAATCGCTCCAAATATCCACTTGCAGATACTACAAAAAGACTGTTTCAAAACCGCTCTCTCAAAAGGAAGGTTCAACTCTGTGAGTTGAATGCACATATTACAAAGCAGTTCCTGAGAATGCTTCTGTCTATTTTTTAGGTGAAGATATCACTTTTTCCAACATAGGCCGCAAAGCATTTGAAATGAACCCTTGCAGATTCTACAAAATGTTTGTTTCAACACTGCTGTATCAAAAGAAAGGTTCAACAATGTGAATTGAACAAACCCATTACAAAGGAGTTTCTGAGAATGCTTCTGTCTAGTTTTTATGTGAAGATATTTCTTTTTCCAACATAGGCAACAAAGCACTCCAAAGAACACTTGTAGATTATACAAAAAGTGTGTTTCAACACTGCTCTACCTAAAGGAAGTTTCAAGTCTGTGACTTAAATGCACACATCACAAAGCAGTTTCTGACAATGCTTCTGTCTAGTTTGTATGTGAAGATATTTCATTTTCCACCATACTCCACAAATCGTTCCAAATATCCACTTGCAAATACTACAAAAAGACTGTTTCAAAACTTCTCTCTCAAAAGGAAGGTTCAACTCTGTGAGTTGAATGCACACATCACAAGGCAGTTTCTGAAAATGCTTCCGTCTAGTTTTTTATTTGAAGGTATTTCCTTTTCCTTCTTCGGCCTCAAATCACTGCAAATATCCACTTGCAGATACTACAAAAAGACTGTTTCAAAACCGCTCTCTCAAAAGGAAGGTTCAACACTGTGAGTTGAATGCACATGTTACAAAGCAGTTTCTGGAATGCTTCTGTCTATTTTTCAGGTGAAGATATCACTTTTTCCAGCATACGCCCAAAGAACTCGAAATGGACACTTGCAGATTCTACAAAAAGTATGTTTCAACACTGCTCTATCAAAAGAAAGGTTCAACGATGTGAATTGAACACACACTTCACAGAGGAGTTTCAGAGAATGCTTCTGTCTAGTTTTTAAGTGAAGATATTCCTTTTTCCCACATAGGCAACAAAGCGCTCCAAAGGAATACTTGTGGATTCTACAAAAAGTGTGTTTCAACACTGCTCTATCAAAAGAAAGTTTCAAGTCTGTGAGTTGAACGCACACATCACAAAGAACCTTCTGAGAATGCTTGGGTCTACTTTTTATGTGAAGATACCCGTTTCCAACGAATAACTCAAAGAGTTCCAAATATACACAATCAGATACTACAAAAGGAGTGTTTCATTCCTCCTCTGTCAAAAGACAGTTTCAACTCTGTTAGTTGAATGCACACATCTCAATGAAGTTCCTGAGAAGGCTTCTGCCTAGTTTTTTGTGAAGATAGTCCCTTTTCCACCATGGGCTTCAAAGCGCTCCAAATGAAAACTTGCAGGTCCTACCAAAAGACTGATTCAAAACTGCTCTATCAAAAGAACGGTTCCACTCTGTTAGGTGAATGCACACATCACAAGAAATTTCTGAGAATGCTTCTGTTTAGTTTGTATGTGAAGATATTTCCTTTTCCATCATACTACTCGAATCGCTCCAAATATCCACCTGCAGACGTTACAAAAAGACTGTTTCAAAACTGCTCTCTCAAAAGGAAGGTTCAACTCTGTGAGTTGAGTGCACACATCACAATGGAGTTTCTGAGAATACTTCTGTCTACTTTGTATGTGAAGGTATTTCCTTTCCCACCTGAGGCCCCAAGTCCCTACAAATATCCACTTGCAGATACTACAAAAAGACTGTTTCAAAACCTCCCTCTCAAAAGGAAAGTTCAAATCTGTCGGTTGAATGCACACATCACAAAGCAGTTTCTGAGAATGCTTCTGTCTAGTTTGTATGTGAAGATATTTCCTATTCCACAATGGCCTCAATTAGCGCCAAATATCCACTTCCAGATACTACAAAAAGACGGTTTCAAAACTGCTCTCTCAAAAGGAAGGTTCAACTCTGTGAGTTCAATGCACATATCACAAAGCAGTTTCTGAGAATGCTTCTGTCTAGTTTGTATGTGAAGATATTTCCTTTTCCATCATAGGCCTCAAATCGCTCCAAATATCCAATTGAAGATACTACAAAAAGACCGTTTCAACACTGCTCTCTCAAATGGAAGGTTCAACTCTGTGAGTTAAATGCACACATCACAAAGCAGTTTCTGAGAATGCTTCTGTCTAGTTTGTATGTGAAGATATGCCTTTTACAGCGTATTCCTCAAGGAGCTCCCAATATCCACAAGCAGATTCTACAGAAGCAGTGTTTCAAACCTGCTCTGTCAAAGGAAAGTTTCAACTCTGTGAATTGAACACACACATCACAAAGCAGTTTCTAAGAATGCTTCTGTCTAGTTTTTAAGAGAAGATAATCCTTTTTCCACCATAGGCAACAAATCTCTCCAAATGAACACTACCAGGTTCTACAAAATGTGTGTTTCAACACTGCTCTAACAAAAGTAAGGATCAAGACTTTGAGTTAAATGCACACATCACAAAGCAGTTTCTGAGAAAGCTTCTGTCTAGTTTTTATTTGAAGGTACTTCCTTTTCCTTCTTAGACCTCAAATCGCTCCAAATATCCACTTGCAGATACTACAAAAAGACTGTTTCAAAACCGCCTTCTCAAAAGGAAGGTTCAACTCTGTGAGTTGAATGCACATATTACAAAGCAGTTCCTGAGAATGCTTCTGTCTATTTTTTAGGTGAAGATATCACTTTTTCCCAACATAGGCCACAAAGCATTTGAAATGAACACTTGCAGATTCTACAAAATGTTTGTTTCAACACTGCTGTATCAAAAGAAAGGTTCAACAATGTGAATTGAACACACCCATCACAAAGGAGTTTCTGAGAATGCTTCTGTCTAGTTTTTATGTGAAGATATTTCTTTTTCCAACATAGGCAACAAAGCACTCCAAAGAACACTTGTAGATTATACAAAAAGTGTGTTTCAACACTGCTCTAGCTAAAGGAAGTTTCAAGTCTGTGACTTAAATGCACACATCACAAAGCAGTTTCTGACAATGCTTCTGTCTAGTTTGTATGTGAAGATATTTCATTTTCCACCATACTCCACAAATCGCTCCAAATATCCACTTGCAAATACTACAAAAAGACTGTTTCAAAACTTCTCTCTCAAAAGGAAGGTTCAACTCTGTGAGTTGAATGCACACATCACAAGGCATTTTCTGAAAATGCTTCCGTCTAGTTTTTTATTTGAAGGTATTTCCTTTTCCTTCTTCGGCCTCAAATCACTGCAAATATCCACTTGCAGATACTACAAAAAGACTGTTTCAAAACCGCTCTCTCAAAAGGAAGGTTCAACACTGTGAGTTGAATGCACATGTTACAAAGCAGTTTCTGGAATGCTTCTGTCTATTTTTCAGGTGAAGATATCACTTTTTCCAGCATACGCACAAAAGAACTCGAAATGGACACTTGCAGATTCTACAAAAAGTATGTTTCAACACTGCTCTATCAAAAGAAAGGTTCAACGATGTGAATTGAACACACACTTCACAGAGGAGTTTCAGAGAATGCTTCTGTCTAGTTTTTAAGTGAAGATATTCCTTTTTCCCACATAGGCAACAAAACGCTCCAAACGAATACTTGTGGATTCTACAAAAAGTGTGTTTCAACACTGCTCTATCAAAAGAAAGTTTCAAGTCTGTGAGTTGAACGCACACATCACAAAGAACCTTCTGAGAATGCTTGGGTCTACTTTTTATGTGAAGATACCCGTTTCCAACGAATAACTCAAAGAGTTCCAAATACACACAATCAGATACTACAAAAGGAGTGTTTCATTCCTCCTCTGTCAAAAGACAGTTTCAACTCTGTTAGTTGAATGCACACATCTCAATGAAGTTCCTGAGAAGGCTTCTGCCTAGTTTTTTGTGAAGATAGTCCCTTTTCCACCATGGGCTTCAAAGCGCTCCAAATGAAAACTTGCAGGTCCTACCAAAAGACTGATTCAAAACTGCTCTATCAAAAGAACGGTTCCACTCTGTTAGGTGAATGCACACATCACAAGAAGTTTCTGAGAATGCTTCTGTTTAGTTTGTATGTGAAGATATTTCCTTTTCCATCATACTACTCGAATCGCTCTAAATATCCACATGCAGACGTTACAAAAAGACTGTTTCAAAACTGCTCTCTCAAAAGGAAGGTTCAACTCTGTGAGTTGAGTGCACACATCACAATGGAGTTTCTGAGAATACTTCTGTCTACTTTGTATGTGAAGGTATTTCCTTTTCCACCTGAGGCCCCAAGTCACTACAAATATCCACTTGCAGATACTACAAAAAGACTGTTTCAAAACCTCCCTCTCCAAAGGAAAGTTCAAATCTGTCGGTTGAATGCACACATCACAAAGCAGTTTCTGAGAATGCTTCTGTCTAGTTTGTATGTGAAGATATTTCCTTTTCCATCATAGGCCTCAAATCGCTCCAAATATCCACTTGCAGATACTACAAAAGACCGTTTCAACACTGCTCTCTCAAAAGGAAGGTTCAACTCTGTGGGTTGAATGCACACATCACAAAGCAGTTTCTGAGAATGCTTCTGTCTAGTTTGTATGTGAAGATATTTCCTTTTCCATCATAGGCCTCAAATCGCTCCAAATATCCAATTGAAGATACTACAAAAAGACCGTTTCAACACTGCTCTCTCAAATGGAAGGTTCAACTCTGTGAGTTGAATGCACACATCACAAAACAGTTTCTGAGAATGCTTCTGTCTAGTTTGTATGTGAAGATATGCCTTTTACAACGTATTCCTCAAGGAGCTCCCAATATCCACAAGCAGATTCTACAGAAGCAGTGTTTCAAACCTGCTCTGTCAAAGGAAAGTTTCAACTCTGTGAATTGAACACACACATCACAAAGCAGTTTCTAAGAATGCTTCTGTCTAGTTTTTAAGAGAAGATAATCATTTTTCCACCATAGGCAACAAATCTCTCCAAATGAACACTACCAGGTTCTACAAAAAGTGTGTTTCAACACTGCTCTAACAAAAGTAAGGATCAAGACTTTGAGTTAAATGCACACATCACAAAGCAGTTTCTGAGAAAGCTTCTGTCTAGTTTTTATTTGAAGGTACTTCCTTTTCCTTCTTAGACCTCAAATCGCTCCAAATATCCACTTGCAGATACTACAAAAAGACTGTTTCAAAACCGCTCTCTCAAAAGGAAGGTTCAACTCTGTGAGTTGAATGCACATATTACAAAGCAGTTCCTGAGAATGCTTCTGTCTATTTTTTAGGTGAAGATATCACTTTTTCCAACATAGGCCACAAAGCATTTGAAATGAACACTTGCAGATTCTACAAAATGTTTGTTTCAACACTGCTGTATCAAAATCAAGGTTCAACAATGTGAATTGAACACACCCATCACAAAGGAGTTTCTGAGAATGCTTCTGTCTAGTTTCTATGTGAAGATATTTCTTTTTCCAAAATAGGCAACAAAGCACTCCAAAGAACACTTGTAGATTATACAAAAAGTGTGTTTCAACACTGCTCTACCTAAAGGAAGTTTCAAGTCTGTGACTTAAATGCACACATCACAAAGCAGTTTCTGAGAATGCTTCTGTCTAGTTTGTATGTGAAGATATTTCATTTTCCACCATACTCCACAAATCGCTCCAAATATCCACTTGCAAATACTACAAAAAGACTGTTTCAAAACTTCTCTCTCAAAAGGAAGGTTCAACTCTGTGAGTTGAATGCACACGTCACAAGGCAGTTTCTGAAAATGCTTCCGTCTAGTTTTTTATTTGAAGGTATTTCCTTTTCCTTCTTCGGCCTCAAATCACTGCAAATATCCACTTGCAGATACTACAAAAAGACTGTTTCAAAACCGCTCTCTCAAAAGGAACGTTCAACACTGTGAGTTGAATGCACATGTTACAAAGCAGTTTCTGGAATGCTTCTGTCTATTTTTCAGGTGAAGATATCACTTTTTTCAACATACGCACAAAAGAACTCGAAATGGACACTTGCAGATTCTACAAAAAGTATGTTTCAACACTGCTCTATCAAAAGAAAGGTTCAACGATGTGAATTGAACACACACTTCACAGAGGAGTTTCAGAGAATGCTTCTGTCTAGTTTTTAAGTGAAGATATTCCTTTTTCCCACGTAGGCAACAAAGCGCTCCAAATGAATACTTGTGGATTCTACAAAAAGTGTGTTTCAACACTGCTCTATCAAAAGAAAGTTTCAAGTCTGTGAGTCGAACGCACACATCACAAAGAACCTTCTGAGAATGCTTGGGTCTACTTTTTATGTGAAGATACCCGTTTCCAACGAATAACTCAAAGAGTTCCAAATATACACAATCAGATACTACAAAAGGAGTGTTTCATTCCTCCTCTGTCAAAAGACAGTTTCAACTCTGTTAGTTGAATGCACACATCTCAATGAAGTTCCTGAGAAGGCTTCTGCCTAGTTTTTTGTGAAGATAGTCCCTTTTCCACCATGGGCTTCAAAGCGCTCCAAATGAAAACTTGCAGGTCCTACCAAAAGACTGATTCAAAACTGCTCTATCAAAAGAACGGTTCCACTCTGTTAGGTGAATGCACACATCACAAGAAGTTTCTGAGAATGCTTCTGTTTAGTTTGTATGTGAAGATATTTCCTTTTCCATCATAGTACTCGAATCGCTCCAAATATCCACCTGCAGACGTTACAAAAAGACTGTTTCAAAACTGCTCTCTCAAAAGGAAGGTTCAACTCTGTGAGTTCAGTGCACACATCACAATGGAGTTTCTGAGAATACTTCTGTCTACTTTGTATGTGAAGGTATTTCCTTTTCCACTTGAGGCCCCAAGTCACTACAAATATCCACTTGCAGATACTACAAAAAGACTGTTTCAAAACCTCCCTCTCCAAAGGAAAGTTCAAATCTGTCGGTTGAATGCACACATCACAAAACAGTTTCTGAGAATGCTTCTGTCTAGTTTGTATGTGAAGATATTTCCTTTTCCATCATAGGCCTCAAATCGCTCCAAATATCCACTTGCAGATACTACAAAAGACCGTTTCAACACTGCTCTCTCAAAAGGAAGGTTCAACTCTGTGGGTTGAATGCACACATCACAAAGCAGTTTCTGAGAATGCTTCTGTCTAGTTTGTATGTGAAGATATTTCCTTTTCCATCATAGGCCTCAAATCGCTCCAAATATCCACTTGAAGATACTACAAAAAGACCGTTTCAACACTGCTCTCTCAAATGGAAGGTTCAACTCTGTGAGTTGAATGCACACATCACAAAGCAGTTTCTGAGAATGCTTCTGTCTAGTTTGTATGTGAAGATATGCCTTTTAAAACGTATTCGTCAAGGAGCTCCCAATATCCACAAGCAGATTCTACAGAATCAGTGTTTCAAACCTGCTCTGTCAAAGGAAAGTTTCAACTCTGTGAATTGAACACACACATCACAAAGCAGTTTCTAAGAATGCTTCTGTCTAGTTTTAAAGAGAAGATAATCCTTTTTCCACCATAGGCAAAAAATCTCTCCAAATGAACACTACCAGGTTCTACAAAAAGTGTGTTTCAACACTGCTCTAACAAAAGTAAGGATCAAGACTTTGAGTTAAATGCACACATCACAAAGCAGTTTCTGAGAAAGCTTCTGTCTAGTTTTTATTTGAAGGTACTTCCTTTTCCTTCTTAGACCTCAAATCGCTCCAAATATCCACTTGCAGATACTACAAAAAGACTGTTTCAAAACCGCTCTCTCAAAAGGAAGGTTCAACTCTGTGAGTTGAATGCACATATTACAAAGCAGTTCCTGAGAATGCTTCTGTCTATTTTTTAGGTGAAGATATCTCTTTTTCCAACATAGGCCACAAAGCATTTGAAATGAACATTTGCAGATTCTACAAAATGTTTGTTTCAACACTGCTGTATCAAAAGAAAGGTTCAACAATGTGAATTGAACACACCCATCACAAAGGAGTTTTTGAGAATGCTTCTGTCTAGTTTTTATGTGAAGATATTTCTTTTTCCAACATAGGCAACAAAGCACTCCAAAGAACACTTGTAGATTATACAAAAAGTGTGTTTCAACACTGCTCTATCTAAAGGAAGTTTCAAGTCTGTGAGTTAAATGCACACATCACAAATCAGTTTCTGAGAATGCTTCTGTCTAGTTTGTATGTGAAGATATTTCATTTTCCACCATACTCCACAAATCGCTCCAAATATCCACTTGCAAATACTACAAAAAGACTGTTTCAAAACTTCTCTCTCAAAAGGAAGGTTCAACTCTGTGAGTTGAATGCACACATCACAAGGCAGTTTCTGAAAATGCTTCCGTCTAGTTTTTTATTTGAAGGTATTTCCTTTTCCTTCTTCGGCCTCAAATCACTGCAAATATCCACTTGCAGATACTACAAAAAGACTGTTTCAAAACCGCTCTCTCAAAAGGAAGGTTCAACACTGTGAGTTGAATGCACATGTTACAAAGCAGTTTCTGGAATGCTTCTGTCTATTTTTCAGGTGAAGATATCACTTTTTCCAGCATACGCACAGAAGAACTCGAAATGGACACTTGCAGATTCTACAAAAAGTATGTTTCAACACTGCTCTATCAAAAGAAAGGTTCAACGATGTGAATTGAACACACACTTCACAGAGGAGTTTCAGAGAATGCTTCTGTCTAGTTTTTAAGTGAAGATATTCCTTTTTCCCACATAGGCAACAAAGCGCTCCAAAGGAATACTTGTGGATTCTACAAAAAGTGTGTTTCAACACTGCTCTATCAAAAGAAAGTTTCAAGTCTGTGAGTTGAACGCACACATCACAAAGAACCTTCTGAGAATGCTTGGGTCTACTTTTTATGTGAAGATACCCGTTTCCAACGAATAACTCAAAGAGTTCCAAATACACACAATCAGATACTACAAAAGGAGTGTTTCATTCCTCCTCTGTCAAAAGACAGTTTCAACTCTGTTAGTTGAATGCACACATCTCAATGAAGTTCCTGAGAAGGCTTCTGCCTAGTTTTTTGTGAAGATAGTCCCTTTTCCACCATGGGCTTCAAAGCGCTCCAAATGAAAACTTGCAGGTCCTACCAAAAGACTGATTCAAAACTGCTCTATCAAAAGAACGGTTCCACTCTGTTAGGTGAATGCACACATCACAAGAAGTTTCTGAGAATGCTTCTGTTTAGTTTGTATGTGAAGATATTTCCTTTTCCATCATACTACTCGAATCGCTCCAAATATCCACCTGCAGACGTTACAAAAAGACTGTTTCAAAACTGCTCTCTCAAAAGGAAGGTTCAACTCTGTGAGTTGAGTGCACACATCACAATGGAGTTTCTGAGAATACTTCTCTCTAGTTTGTATGTGAAGGTATTTCCTTTTCCATCCGAGGCCCCAAGTCACTACAAATATCCACTTGCAGATACTACAAACAGACTGTTTCAAAACCTCCCTCTCAAAAGGAAAGTTCAAATCTGTGAGTTGAATGCACACATCACAAAGCAGTTCCTCAGACTGCTTCTGTCTAGTTTGTATGTGAAGATATTTCCTTTTCCATCATAGGCCTCAAATCGCTCCAAATATCCACTTGCAGATACTACAAAAGACCGTTTCAACACTGCTCTCTCAAAAGGAAGGTTCAACTCTGTGGGTTGAATGCACACATCACAAAGCAGTTTCTGAGAATGCTTCTGTCTAGTTTGTATGTGAAGTTATTTCCTTTTCCATCATAGGCCTCAAATCGCTCCAAATATCCACTTGCAGATACTACAAAAAGACTGTTTCAACACTGCTCTCTCAAATGGAAGGTTCAACTCTGTGAGTTGAATGCACACATCACAACGGAGTTTCTGAGAATGCTTCTCTCTAGTTTGTATGTGAAGATATGCCTTTTACAACGTGTTCCTCAAGGAGCTCCCGATATCCACAAGCAGATTCTACAAAAGCAGTGTTTCAAACCTGCTCTGTCAAAGGAAAGTTTCAACTCTGTGAATTGAACACACACATCACAAAGCAGTTTGTAAGAATGCTTCTGTCTAGTTTTTAAGAGAAGATAATCCTTTTTCCACCATAGGCAACAAATCTCTCCAAATGAACACTACCAGGTTCTACAAAAAGTGTGTTTCAACACTGCTCTAACAAAAGTAAGGATCAAGACTTTGAGTTAAATGTGCACATCACCAAGCAGTTTCTGAGAAAGCTTCTGTCTAGTTTTTATTTGAAGGTACTTCCTTTTCCTTCTCAGACCTCACATCGCTCCAAATATCCACTTGCAGATACTACAAAAAGACTGTTTCAAAACCGCTCTCTCAAAAGGAAGGTTCAACTCTGTGAGTTGAATGCACATATTACAAAGCAGTTCCTGAGAATGCTTCTGTCTATTTTTTAGGTGAAGATATCACTTTTTCCAACATAGGCCACAAAGCATTTGAAATGAACACTTGCAGATTCTACAAAATGTTTGTTTCAACCCTGCTGTATCAAAAGAAAGGTTCAACAATGTGAATTGAACAAACCCATCACAAAGGAGTTTCTGAGAATGCTTCTGTCTAGTTTTTATGTGAAGATATTTCTTTTTCCAACATAGGCAACAAAGCACTCCAAAGAACACTTGTAGATTATACAAAAAGTGTGTTTCAACACTGCTCTACCTAAAGGAAGTTTCAAGTCTGTGACTTAAATGCACACATCACAAAGCAGTTTCTGAGAATGCTTCTGTCTACTTTGTATGTGAAGGTATTTCATTTTCCACCATACTCCACAAATCGCTCCAAATATCCACTTGCAAATACTACAAAAAGACTGTTTCAAAACTTCTCTCTCAAAAGGAAGGTTCAACTCTGTGAGTTGAATGCACACATCACAAGGCAGTTTCTGAAAATGCTTCCGTCTAGTTTTTTATTTGAAGGTATTTCCTTTTCCTTCTTCGGCCTCAAATCACTGCAAATATCCACTTGCAGATACTACAAAAAGACTGTTTCAAAACCGCTCTCTCAAAAGGAAGGTTCAACACTGTGAGTTGAATGCATATGTTACAAAGCAGTTTCTGGAATGCTTCTGTCTATTTTTCAGGTGAAGATATCACTTTTTCCAACATACGCACAAAAGAACTCGAAATGGACACTTGCAGATTCTACAAAAAGTATGTTTCAACACTGCTCTATCAAAAGAAAGGTTCAACGATGTGAATTGAACACACACTTCACAGAGGAGTTTCAGAGAATGCTTCTGTCTAGTTTTTAAGTGAAGATATTCCTTTTTCCCACATAGGCAACAAAGCGCTCCAAAGGAATACTTGTGGATTCTACAAAAAGTGTGTTTCAACACTGCTCTATCAAAAGAAAGTTTCAAGTCTGTGAGTCGAACGCCCACATCACAAAGAACCTTCTGAGAATGCTTGGGTCTACTTTTTATGTGAAGATACCCGTTTCCAACGAATAACTGAAAGAGTTCCAAATATACACAATCAGATACTACAAAAGGAGTGTTTCATCCCTCCTCTGTCAAAAGACAGTTTCAACTCTGTTAGTTGAATGCACACATCTCAATGAAGTTCCTGAGAAGGCTTCTGCCTAGTTTTTTGTGAAGATAGTCCCTTTTCCACCATGGGCTTCAAAGCGCTCCAAATGAAAATTTGCAGGTCCTACCAAAAGACTGATTCAAAACTGCTCTATCAAAAGAACGGTTCCACTCTGTTAGGTGAATGCACACATCACAAGAAGTTTCTGAGAATGCTTCTGTCCAATTTTTATGTGAAGATATTCCCTTTTCCATCATAGGCCTCAAGTCGCTCCAAATATCCACTTGCAGACACTACAAAAAGACTGTTTCAAAACTGCTCTCTCAAAAGGAAGGTTCAACTCTGTGAGTTGAGTGCACACATCACAATGGAGTTTCTGAGAATACTTCTGTCTACTTTGTATGTGAAGGTATTTCCTTTTCCATCTGAGGCCCCAAGTCACTACAAATATCCACTTGCAGATACTACAAAAAGACTGTTTCAAAACCTCCCTCTCAAAAGGAAAGTTCAAATCTGTGAGTTGAATGCACACATCACAAAGCAGTTCCTGAGACTGCTTCTGTCTAGTTTGTATGTGAGGATATTTCCTTTTCCATCATAGGCCTCAAATCGCTCCAAATATCCACTTGCAGATACTACAAAAAGACTGTTTCAACACTGCTCTCTCAAATGGAAGGTTCAACTCTGTGAGTTGAATGCACACATCACAACGGAGTTTCTGAGAATGCTTCTGTCTAGTTTGTATGTGAAGATATGTCTTTTACAACGTATTCCTGAAGGAGCTCCCAATATCCACAAGCAGATTCTACAAAAGCAGTGTTTCAAACCTGCTCTATCAAAGGAAAGTTTCAACTCTGTGAATTGAACACACACATCACAAAGCAGTTTCTAAGAATGCTTCTCTCTAGTTTTTAAGAGAAGATAATCCTTTTTCCACCATAGGCAACAAATCTCTCCAAATGAACACTAGCAGGTTCTACCAAAAGTGTGTTTCAACACTGCTCTATCAAAAGAAAGGATCAAGACTTTGAGTTAAATGCACACATCACAAAGCAGTTTCTGAGAAAGCTTCTGTCTAGTTTTTATTTGAAGGTACTTCCTTTTCCTTCTTAGACCTCAAATCGCTCCAAATATCCACTTGCAGATACTACAAAAAGACTGTTTCAAAACCGCTCTCTCAAAAGGAAGGTTCAGCTCTGTGAGTTGAATGCACATATTACAAAGCAGTTCCTGAGAATGCTTCTGTCTATTTTTTAGGTGAAGATATCACTTTTTCCAACATAGGCCACAAAGCCTTTGAAATGAACACTTGCAGATTCTACAAAATGTTTGTTTCAACACTGCTGTATCAAAATCAAGGTTCAACAATGTGAATTGAACACACCCATCACAAAGGAGTTTCTGAGAATGCTTCTGTCTAGTTTTTATGTGAAGATATTTCTTTTTCCAACATAGGCAACAAAGCACTCCAAAGAACACTTGTAGATTATACAAAAAGTGTGTTTCAACACTGCTCTATCTAAAGGAAGTTTCAAGTCTGTGAGTTAAATGCAGACATCACAAAGCAGTTTCTGAGAATGCTTCTGTCTACTTTGTATGTGAAGGTATTTCATTTTCCACCATACTCCACAAATTGCTCCAAATATCCACTTGCAAATACTACAAAAAGACTGTTTCAAAACTTCTCTCTCAAAAGGAAGGTTCAACTCTGTGAGTTGAATGCACACATCACAAGGCAGTTTCTGAAAATGCTTCCGTCTAGTTTTTTATTTGAAGGTATTTCCTTTTCCTTCTTCGGCCTCAAATCACTGCAAATATCCACTTGCAGATACTACAAAAAGACTGTTTCAAAACCGCTCTCTCAAAAGGAAGGTTCAACACTGTGAGTTGAATGCACATGTTACAAAGCAGTTTCTGGAATGCTTCTGTCTATTTTTCAGGTGAAGATATCACTTTTTCCAACATACGCACAAAAGAACTCGAAATGGACACTTGCAGATTCTACAAAAAGTATGTTTCAACACTGCTCCATCAAAAGAAAGGTTCAACGATGTGAATTGAACACACACTTCACAGAGGAGTTTCAGAGAATGCTTTCTGTCTAGTTTTTAAGTGAAGATATTCCTTTTTCCCACATAGGCAACAAAGCGCTCCAAACGAATACTTGTGGATTCTACAAAAAGTGTGTTTCAACACTGCTCTATCAAAAGAAAGTTTCAAGTCTGTGAGTTGAACGCACACATCACAAAGAACCTTCTGAGAATGCTTGGGTCTACTTTTTATGTGAAGATACCCGTTTCCAACGAATAACTCAAAGAGTTCCAAATATACACAATCAGATACTACAAAAGGAGTGTTTCATTCCTCCTCTGTCAAAAGACAGTTTCAACTCTGTTAGTTGAATGCACACATCTCAATGAAGTTCCTGAGAAGGCTTCTGCCTAGTTTTTTTTGAAGATATTCCCTTTTCCACCATAGGCTTCACAGCGCTCCAAATGAAAACTTGCAGGTCCTACAAAAAGACTGATTCAAAACTGCTCTATCAAAAGAACGGTTCCACTCTGTTAGGTGAAGGCACACATCACAAGAAGTTTCTGAGAATGTTTCTGTTTAGTTTGTATGTGAAGATATTTCCTTTTCCATCATAGTACTCGAATCGCTCCAAATATCCACCTGCAGACGTTACAAAAAGACTGTTTCAAAACTGCTCTCTCAAAAGGAAGGTTCAACTCTGTGAGTTGAGTGCACACATCACAATGGAGTTTCTGAGAATACTTCTGTCTACTTTGTATGTGAAGGTATTTCCTTTTCCACCTGAGGCCCCAAGTCACTAGAAATATCCACTTGCAGATACTACAAAAAGACTGTTTCAAAACCTCCCTCTCCAAAGGAAAGTTCAAATCTGTCGGTTGAATGCACACATCACAAAGCAGTTTCTGAGAATGCTTCTGTCTAGTTTGTATGTGAAGATATTTCCTTTTCCATCATAGGCCTCAAATCGCCCCAAATATCCACTTGCAGATACTACAAAAGACCGTTTCAACACTGCTCTCTCAAAAGGAAGGTTCAACTCTGTGGGTTGAATGCACACATCACAAAGCAGTTTCTGAGAATGCTTCTGTCTAGTTTGTATGTGAAAATATTTCCTTTTCCATCATAGGCCTCAAATCGCTCCAAATATCCACTTGAAGATACTACAAAAAGACTGTTTCAACACTCCTCTCTCAAATGGAAGGTTCAACTCTGTGAGTTGAATGCACACATCACAAAGCAGTTTCTGAGAATGCTTGTGTCTAGTTTGTATGTGAAGATATGCCTTTTACAACGTATTCCTCAAGGAGCTCCCAATATCCACAAGCAGATTCTACAGAAGCAGTGTTTCAAACCTGCTCAGTCAAAGGAAAGTTTCAACTCTGTGAATTGAACACACACATCACAAAGCAGTTTCTAAGAATGCTTCTGTCTAGTTTTTAAGAGAAGATAATCCTTTTTCCACCATAGGCAACAAATCTCTCCAAATGAACACTACCAGGTTCTACAAAAAGTGTGTTTCAACACTGCTCTAACAAAAGTAAGGATCAAGACTTTGAGTTAAATGCGCACATCACAAAGCAGTTTCTGAGAAAGCTTCTGTCTAGTTTTTATTTGAAGGTACATCCTTTTCCTTCTTAGACCTCAAATCGCTCCAAATATCCACTTGCAGATACTACAAAAAGACTGTTTCAAAACCGCTCTCTCAAAAGGAAGGTTCAACTCTGTGAGTTGAATACACATATTACAAAGCAGTTCCTGAGAATGCTTCTGTCTATTTTTTAGGTGAAGGTATCACTTTTTCCAACATAGGCCACAAAGCATTTGAAATGAGCACTTGCAGATTCTACAAAATGTTTGTTTCAACACTGCTGTATCAAAAGAAAGGTTCAACAATGTGAATTGAAGAAACCCATGACAAAGGAGTTTCTGAGAATGCTTCTGTCTAGTTTTTATGTGAAGATATTTCTTTTTCCAACATAGGCAACAAAGCACTCCAAAGAACACTTGTAGATTATACAAAAAGTGTGTTTCAACACTGCTCTACCTAAAGGAAGTTTCAAGTCTGTCACTTAAATGCACACATCACAAAGCAGTTTCTGAGAATGCTTCTGTCTAGTTTGTATGTGAAGATATTTCATTTTCCACCATACTCCACAAATCGCTCCAAATATCCACTTGCAAATACTACAAAAAGACTGTTTCAAAACTTCTCTCTCAAAAGGAAGGTTCAACTCTGTGAGTTGAATGCACACATCACAAGGCAGTTTCTGAAAATGCTTCCGTCTAGTTTTTTATTTGAAGGTATTTCCTTTTCCTTCTTCGGCCTCAAATCACTGCAAATATCCACTTGCAGATACTACAAAAAGACTGTTTCAAAACCGCTCTCTCAAAAGGAAGGTTCAACACTGTGAGTTGAATGCACATGTTACAAAGCAGTTTCTGGAATGCTTCTGTCTATTTTTCAGGTGAAGATATCACTTTTTCCAGCATACGCACAAAAGAACTCGAAATGGACACTTGCAGATTCTACAAAAAGTATGTTTCAACACTGCTCTATCAAAAGAAAGGTTCAACGATGTGAATTGAACACACACTTCACAGAGGAGTTTCAGAGAATGCTTCTGTCTAGTTTTTAAGTGAAGATATTCCTTTTTCCCACATAGGCAACAAAGCGCTCCAAAGGAATACTTGTGGATTCTACAAAAAGTGTGTTTCAACACTGCTCTATCAAAAGAAAGTTTCAAGTCTGTGAGTTGAACGCACACATCACAAAGAACCTTCTGAGAATGCTTGGGTCTACTTTTTATGTGAAGATACCCGTTTCCAACGAATAACTCAAAGAGTTCCAAATACACACAATCAGATACTACAAAAGGAGTGTTTCATTCCTCCTCTGTCAAAAGACAGTTTCAACTCTGTTAGTTGAATGCACACATCTCAATGAAGTTCCTGAGAAGGCTTCTGCCTAGTTTTTTGCGAAGATATTCCCTTTTCCACCATAGGCTTCAAAGCGCTCCAAATGAAAACTTGCAGGACCTACCAAAAGACTGATTCAAAACTGCTCTATCAAAAGAACGGTTCCACTCTGTTAGGTGAACGCACACATCAGAAGACGTTTCTGAGAATGCTTCCGTTTAGTTTGTATGTGAAGATATTTCCTTTTCCATCATACTACACGAATCGCTCCAAATATCCACCTGCAGACGTTACAAAAAGACTGTTTCAAAACTGCTCTCTCAAAAGGAAGGTTCAACTCTGTGAGTTGAGTGCACACATCACAATGGAGTTTCTGAGAATACTTCTGTCTACTTTGTATGTGAAGGTATTTCCTTTTCCACCTGAGGCCCCAAGTCACTACAAATATCCAATTGCAGATACTACAAAAAAGACTGTTTCAAAACCTCCCTCTCCAAAGGAAAGTTCAAATCTGTCGGTTGAATGCACACATCACAAAGCAGTTTCTGAGAATGCTTCTGTCTAGTTTGTATGTGAAGATATTTGCTTTTCCATCATAGGCCTCAAATCGCTCCAAATATCCACTTGCAGATACTACAAAAGACCGTTTCAACACTGCTCTCTCAAAAGGAAGGTTCAAATACTGTGGGTTGAATGCACACATCACAAAGCAGTTTCTGAGAATGCTTCTGTCTAGTTTGTATGTGAAGATATTTCCTTTTCCATCATAGGCCTCAAATCGCTCCAAATATCCACCTGCAGATACTACAAAAAGACTGTTTCAACACTGCTCTCTCAAATGGAAGGTTCAACTCTGTGAGTTGAATGCACACATCACAACGGAGTTTCTGAGAATGCTTCTGTCTAGATTGTATGTGAAGATATGCCTTTTACAACGTATTCCTCAGAGAGCTCCCAATATCCACAAGCAGATTCTACAAAAGCAGTGTTTCAAACCTGCTCTATCAAAGGAAAGTTTCAACTTTGTGAATTGAACACACACATCACAAAGCAGCTTCTAAGAATGCTTCTGTCTAGTTTTTAAGAGAAGATAATCCTTTTTCCACCATAGGAAACAAATCTCTCCAACTGAACACTACCAGGTTCTACAAAAAGTGTGTTTCAACACTGCTCTAACAAAAGTAAGGATCAAGACTTTGAGTTAAATGCACACATCACAAAGCAGTTTCTGAGAAAGATTCTGTCTAGTTTTTATTTGAAGGTACTTCCTTTTCCTTCTTAGACCTCAAATCGCTCCAAATATCCACTTGCAGATACTACAAAAAGACTGTTTCAAAACCGCTCTCTCAAAAGGAAGGTTCAACTCTGTGAGTTGAATGCACACATCACAAAGCAGTTCCTGAGAATGCTTCTGTCTATTTTTTAGGTGAAGATATCACTTTTTCCAACATAGGCCACAAAGCATTTGAAATGAGCACTTGCAGATTCTACAAAATGTTTGTTTCAACACTGCTGTATCAAAAGAAAGGTTCAACAATGTGAATTGAACAAACCCATCACAAAGGAGTTTCTGAGAATGCTTCTGTCTAGTTTTTATGTGAAGATAGTTCTTTTTCCAACATAGGCAACAAAGCACTCCAAAGAACACTTGTAGATTATACAAAAAGTGTGTTTCAACACTGCTCTACCTAAAGTAAGTTTCAAGTCTGTGACTTAAATGCACACATCACAAAGCAGTTTCTGAGAATGCTTCTGTCTAGTTTGTATGTGAAGATATTTCATTTTCCACCATACTCCACAAATCGCTCCAAATATCCACTTGCAAATACTACAAAAAGACTGTTTCAAAACTTCTCTCTCAAAAGGAAGGTTCAACTCTGTGAGTTGAATGCACACATCACAAGGCAGTTTCTGAAAATGTTTCCGTCTAGTTTTTTATTTGAAGGTATTTCCTTTTCCTTCTTCGGCCTCAAATCACTGCAAATATCCACTTGCAGATACTACAAAAAGACTGTTTCAAAACCGCTCTCTCAAAAGGAAGGTTCAACACTGTGAGTTGAATGCACATGTTACAAAGCAGTTTCTGGAATGCTTCTGTCTATTTTTCAGGTGAAGATATCACTTTTTCCATCATACGCACAAAAGAACTCGAAATGGACACTTGCAGATTCTACAAAAAGTATGTTTCAACACTGCTCTATCAAAAGAAAGGTTCAACGATGTGAATTGAACACACACTTCACAGAGGAGTTTCAGAGAATGCTTCTGTCTAGTTTTTAAGTGAAGATATTCCTTTTTCCCACATAGGCAACAAAGCGCTCCAAACGAATACTTGTGGATTCTACAAAAAGTGTGTTTCAACACTGCTCTATCAAAAGAAAGTTTCAAGTCTGTGAGTTGAACGCCCACATCACAAAGAACCTTCTGAGAATGCTTGGGTCTACTTTTTATGTGAAGATACCCGTTTCCAACGAATAACTCAAAGAGTTCCAAATATACACAATCAGATACTACAAAAGGAGTGTTTCATTCCTGCTCTGTCAAAAGACAGTTTCAACTCTGTTAGTTGAATGCACACATCTCAGTTGAGTTCCTGAGAAGGCTTCTGCCTAGTTTTTTGTGAAGATATTCCCTTTTCCACCATAGGCTTCACAGCGCTCCAAATGAAAACTTGCAGGTCCTACAAAAAGACTGATTCAAAACTGCTCTATCAAAAGAACGGTTCCACTCTGTTAGGTGAATGCACACATCACAAGAAGTTTCTGAGAATGCTTCTGTTTAGTTTGTATGTGAAGATATTTCCTTTTCAATCATACTACACGAATCGCTCCAAATATCCAACTGCAGACATTACAAAAAGACTGTTTCAAAACTGCTCTCTCAAATGGAAGGTTCAACTCTGTGAGTTGAGTGCACACATCACAAGGGAGTTTCTGAGAATACTTCTGTCTAGTTTGTATGTGAAGGTATTTCCTTTTCCATCTGAGGCCCGAAGTCACTACAAATATCCACTTGCAGATACTACAAAATGACTGTTTCAATACCTCCCTCTCAAAAGGAAAGTTCAAATCTGTCGGTTGAATGCACACATCACAAAGCAGTTTCTGAGAATGCTTCTGTCAATTTTGTATGTGAAGTTATTTCCTTTTCCATCATAGGCCTCAAATCGCTCCAAATATCCACTTGCAGATACTACAAAAGACCGTTTCAACACTGCTCTCTGAAAAGGAAGGTTCAACTCTGTGGGTTGAATGCACACATCTCAAAGCAGTTTCTGAGAATGTTTCTGTCTAGTTTGTATGTGAAGATATTTCCTTTTCCATCATAGGCCTCAAATCGCTCCAAATATCCACTTGCAGATACTACAAAAAGACTGTTTCAACACTGCTCTCTCAAATGGAAGGTTCAACTCTGTGAGTTGAATGCACACATCACAACGGAGTTTCTGAGAATACTTCTGTCTAGTTTGTATGTGAAGATATGCCTTTTACAACGTATTCCTCAAAGAGCTCCCAATATCCACAAGCAGATTCTACAAAAGCAGTGTTTCAAAACTGCTCTATCAAAGGAAAGTTTCAACTCTGTGAATTGAACACACACATCACAAAGCAGTTTCTAAGAATGCTTCTGTCTAGTTTTTAAGAGAAGATAATCCTTTTTCCACCATAGGCAACAAATCTCTCCAAATGAACACTACCAGGTTCTACAAAAAGTGTGTTTCAACACTGCTCTAACAAAAGTAAGGATCAAGACTTTGAGTTAAATGCACACATCACAAAGCAGTTTCTGAGAAAGCTTCTGTCTAGTTTTTATTTGAAGGTACTTCCTTTTCCTTCTTAGACCTCAAATCGCTCCAAATATCCACTTGCAGATACTACAAAAAGACTGTTTCAAAACCGCTCTCTCAAAAGGAAGGTTCAACTCTGTGAGTTGAATGCACATATTACAAAGCAGTTCCTGAGAATGCTTCTGTCTATTTTCTAGGTGAACATATCACTTTTTCCAACATAGGCCACAAAGCATTTGAAATGAGCACTTGCAGATTCTATAAAATGTTTGTTTCAACACTGCTGTATCAAAAGAAAGGTTCAACAATGTGAACTGAACAAACCCATCACAAAGGAGTTTCTGAGAATGCTTCTGTCTAGTTTTTATGTGAAGATATTTCTTTTTCCAACATAGGCAACAAAGCACTCCAAAGAACACTTGTAGATTATACAAAAAGTGTGTTTCAACACTGCTCTACCTAAAGGAAGTTTCAAGTCTGTGACTTAAATGCACACATCACAAAGCAGTTTCTGAGAATGCTTCTGTCTACTTTGTATGTGAAGGTATTTCATTTTCCACCATACTCCACAAATCGCTCCAAATATCCACTTGCAAATACTACAAAAAGACTGTTTCAAAACTTCTCTCTCAAAAGGAAGGTTCAACTCTGTGAGTTGAATGCACACATCACAAGGCAGTTTCTGAAAATGCTTTCCGTCTAGTTTTTTATTTGAAGGTATTTCCTTTTCCTTCTTCGGCCTCAAATCACTGCAAATATCCACTTGCAAATACTACAAAAAGACTGTTTCAAAACCGCTCTCTCAAAAGGAAGGTTCAACACTGTGAGTTGAATGCACATGTTACAAAGCAGTTTCTGGAATGCTTCTGTCTATTTTTCAGGTGAAGATATCACTTTTTCCAACATACGCACAAAAGAACTCGAAATGGACACTTGCAGATTCTACAAAAAGTATGTTTCAACAATGCTCTATCAAAAGAACGGTTCCACTCTGTTAGGTGAATGCACACATCACAAGAAGTTTCTGAGAATGCTTCTGTTTAGTTTGTATGTGAAGATATTTCCTTTTCCATCATACTACACGAATCGCTCCAAATATCCACCTGCAGACGTTACAAAAAGACTGTTTCAAAACTGCTCTCTCAAAAGGAAGGTTCAACTCCTGTGAGTTGAGTGCACACATCACAATGGAGTTTCTGAGAATACTTGGGTCTACTTTTTATGTGAAGATACCCGTTTCCAACGAATAACTCAAAGAGTTCCAAATATACACAATCAGATACTACAAAAGGAGTGTTTCATTCCTCCTCTGTCAAAAGACAGTTTCAACTCTGTTAGTTGAATGCACACATCTCAATGAAGTTCCTGAGAAGGCTTCTGCCTAGTTTTTTGTGAAGATATTCCCTTTTCCACCATGGGCTTCAAAGCGCTCCAAATGAAAACTTGCAGGTCCTACCAAAAGACTGATTCAAAACTGCTCTATCAAAAGAACGGTTCCACTCCTGTTAGGTGAACGCACACATCACAAGAAGTTTCTGAGAATGCTTCTGTTTCGTTTGTATGTGAAGATATTTCCTTTTCCATCATACTACACGAATCGCTCCAAATATCCACCTGCAGACGTTACAAAAAGACTGTTTCAAAACTGCTCTCTCAAAAGGAAGGTTCAACTCTGTGAGTTGAGTGCACACATCACAATGGAGTTTCTGAGAATACTTCTGTCTACTTTGTATGTGAAGGTATTTCCTTTTCTACCTGAGGCCCCAAGTCACTACAAATATCCACTTGCAGATACTACAAAAAGACTGTTTCAAAACCTCCCTCTCAAAAGGAAAGTTCAAATCTGTCGGTTGAATGCACACATCACAAAGCAGTTTCTGAGAATGCTTCTGTCTAGTTTGTATGTGAAGATATTTCCTTTTCCATCATAGGCCTCAAATCGCTCCAAATATCCACTTGCAGATACTACAAAAGACCGTTTCAACACTGCTCTCTCAAAAGGAAGGTTCAACTCTGTGGGTTGAATGCACACATCACAAAGCAGTTTCTGAGAATGCTTCTGTCTAGTTTGTATGTGAAGATATTTCCTTTTCCATCATAGGCCTCAAATCGCTCCAAATATCCAATTGAAGATACTACAAAAAGACCGTTTCAACACTGCTCTCTGAAATGGAAGGTTCAACTCTGTGAGTTGAATGCACACATCACAAAGCAGTTTCTGAGAATGCTTCTGTCTAGTTTGTATGTGAAGATATGCCTTTTACAACGTATTCCTCAAGGAGCTCCCAATATCCACAAGCAGATTCTACAGAAGCAGTGTTTCAAACCTGCTCTGTCAAAGGAAAGTTTCAACTCTGTGAATTGAACACACACATCACAAAGCAGTTTCTAAGAATGCTTCTGTCTAGTTTTTAAGAGAAGATAATCATTTTTCCACCATAGGCAACAAATCTCTCCAAATGAACACTACCAGGTTCTACAAAAAGTGTGTTTCAACACTGCTCTAACAAAAGTAAGGATCAAGACTTTGAGTTAAATGCACACATCACAAAGCAGTTTCTGAGAAAGCTTCTGTCTAGTTTTTATTTGAAGGTACTTCCTTTTCCTTCTTAGACCTCAAATCGCTCCAAATATCCACTTGCAGATACTACAAAAAGACTGTTTCAAAACCGCTCTCTCAAAAGGAAGGTTCAACTCTGTGAGTTGAATGCACATATTACAAAGCAGTTCCTGAGAATGCTTCTGTCTATTTTTTAGGTGAAGATATCTCTTTTTCCAACATAGGCCGCAAAGCATTTGAAATGAACACTTGCAGATTCTACAAAATGTTTGTTTCAACACTGCTGTATCAAAAGAAAGGTTCAACAATGTGAATTGAACAGACCCATCACAAAGGAGTTTCTGAGAATGCTTCTGTCTAGTTTTTATGTGAAGATATTTCTTTTTCCAACATAGGCAACAAAGCACTCCAAAGAACACTTGTAGATTATACAAAAAGTGTGTTTCAACACTGCTCTATCTAAAGGAAGTTTCAAGTCCGTGACTTAAATGCACACATCACAAACCAGTTTCTGAGAATGCTTCTGTCTAGTTTGTATGTGAAGATATTTCATTTTCCACCATATTCCACAAATCGCTCCAAATATCCACTTGCAAATACTACAAAAAGACTGTTTCAAAACTTCTCTCTCAAAAGGAAGGTTCAACTCTGTGAGTTGAATGCACACATCACAAGGCAGTTTCTGAAAATGCTTCCGTCTAGCTTTTTATTTGAAGGTATTTCCTTTTCCTTCTTCGGCCTCAAATCACTGCAAATATCCACTTGCAGATACTACAAAAAGACTGTTTCAAAACCGCTCTCTCAAAAGGAAGGTTCAACACTGTGAGTTGAATGCACATGTTACAAAGCAGTTTCTGGAATGCTTCTGTCTATTTTTCAGGTGAAGATATCACTTTTTCCAACATACGCACAAAAGAACTCGAAATGGACACTTGCAGATTCTACAAAAAGTATGTTTCAACACTGCTCCATCAAAAGAAAGGTTCAACGATGTGAATTGAACACACACTTCACAGAGGAGTTTCAGAGAATGCTTCTGTCTAGCTTTTAAGTGAAGATATTACTTTTTCCCACATAGGCAACAAAGCGCTCCAAATGAATACTTGTGGATTCTACAAAAAGTGTGTTTCAACACTGCTCTATCAAAAGAAAGTTTCAAGTCTGTGAGTTGAACGCACACATCACAAAGAACCTTCTGAGAATGCCTGGGTCTACTTTTTATGTGAAGATACCCGTTTCCAACGAATAACTCAAAGAGTTCCAAATATACACAATCAGATACTACAAAAGGAGTGTTTCATTCCTCCTCTGTCAAAAGACAGTTTCAACTCTGTTAGTTGAATGCACACATCTCAATGAAGTTCCTGAGAAGGCTTCTGCCTAGTTTTTTGTGAAGATAGTCCCTTTTCCACCATGGGCGTCAAAGCGCTCCAAATGAAAACTTGCAGGTCCTACCAAAAGACTGATTCAAAACTGCTCTATCAAAAGAACGGTTCCACTCTTTTAGGTGAATGCACACATCACAACAAGTTTCTGAGAATGCTTCTGTTTAGTTTGTATGTGAAGATATTTCCTTTTCCATCATAGTACTCGAATCGCTCCAAATATCCACCTGCAGACATTACAAAAAGACTGTTTCAAAACTGCTCTCTCAAAAGGAAGGTTCAACTCTGTGAGTTGAGGTCACACATCACAATGGAGTTTCTGAGAATACTTCTGTCTAGTTTGTATGTGAAGGTATTTCCTTTTCCATCTGAGGCCCCAAGTCACCACAAATATCCACTTGCAGATACTACAAAAAGACTGTTTCAAAACCTCCCTCTCAAAAGGAAAGTTCAAATCTGTCGGTTGAATGCACACATCACAAAGCAGTTTCTGAGAATGCTTCTGTCTAGTTTGTATGTGAAGATATTTCCTTTTCCATCCTAGGCCTCAAATCGCTCAAAATATCCACTTGCAGATACTACAAAAGACCATTTCAACACTGCTCTCTCAAAAGGAAGGTTCAACTCTGTGGGTTGAATGCACACATCACGAAGCAGTTTCTGAGAATACTTCTGTCTAGTTTGTATGTGAAGATATTTCCTTTTCCATCATAGGCCTCAAATCGCTCCAAATATCCAATTGAAGATACTACAAAAAGATCGTTTCAACACTGCTCTCTCAAATGGAAGGTTCAACTCTGTGAGTTGAATGCACACATCACAAAGCAGTTTCTGAGAATGCTTCTGTTTAGTTTGTATGTGAGGATATGCCTTTTACAATGTATTCCTCAAGGAGCTCCCAATATCCACAAGCAGATTCTACAGAAGCAGTGTTTCAAACCTGCTCTGTCAAAGGAAAGTTTCAACTCTGTGAATTGAACACACACATCACAAAGCAGTTTCTAAGAATGCTTCTGTCTAGTTTTTAAGAGAAGATAATCCTTTTTCCACCATAGGCAACAAATCTCTCCAAATGAACACTACCAGGTTCTACAAAAAGTGTGTTTCAACACTGCTCTAACAAAAGAAAGGATCAAGACTTTGAGTTAAATGCACACATCACAAAGCAGTTTCTGAGAAAGCTTCTGTCTAGTTTTTATTTGAAGGTACTTCCTTTTCCTTCTTAGACCTCAAATCGCTCCAAATATCCACTTGCAGATACTACAAAAAGACTGTTTCAAAACCGCTCTCTCAAAAGGAAGGTTCAACTCTGTGAGTTGAATGCACATATTACAAAGCAGTCCCTGAGAATGCTTCTGTCTATTTTTTAGGTGAAGATATCACTTTTTCCAACATAGGCCACAAAGCATTTGAAATGAACACTTGCAGATTCTACAAAATGTTTGTTTCAACCCTGCTGTATCAAAAGAAAGGTTCAACAATGTGAATTGAACAAACCCATCACAAAGGAGTTTCTGAGAATGCTTCTGTCTAGTTTTTATTTGAAGATATTTCTTTTTCCAACATAGGCAACAAAGCACTCCAAAGAACACTTGTAGATTATACAAAAAGTGTGTTTCAACACTGCTCTACCTAAAGGAAGTTTCAAGTCTGTGACTTAAATGCACACATCACAAAGCAGTTTCTGAGAATGCTTCTGTCTACTTTGTATGTGAAGGTATTTCATTTTCCACCATACTCCACAAATCGCTCCAAATATCCACTTGCAAATACTACAAAAAGACTGTTTCAAAACTTCTCTCTCAAAAGGAAGGTTCAACTCTGTGAGTTGAATGCACACATCACAAGGCAGTTTCTGAAAATGCTTCCGTCTAGTTTTTTATTTGAAGGTATTTCCTTTTCCTTCTTCGGCCTCAAATCACTGCAAATATCCACTTGCAGATACTACAAAAAGACTGTTTCAAAACCGCTCTCTCAAAAGGAAGGTTCAACACTGTGAGTTGAATGCATATGTTACAAAGCAGTTTCTGGAATGCTTCTGTCTATTTTTCAGGTGAAGATATCACTTTTTCCAACATATGCACAAAAGAACTCGAAATGGACACTTGCAGATTCTACAAAAAGTATGTTTCAACTCTACTCCATCAAAAGAAAGGTTCAACGATGTGAATTGAACACACACTTCACAGAGGAGTTTCAGAGAATGCTTCTGTCTAGTTTTTAAGTGAAGATATTCCTTTTTCCCACATAGGCAACAAAGTGCTCCAAATGAATACTTGTGGATTCTACAAAAAGTGTGTTTCAACACTGCTCTATCAAAAGAAAGTTTCAAGTCTGTGAGTTGAACGCACACATCACAAAGAACCTTCTGAGAATGCTTGGGTCTACTTTTTATGTGAAGATACCCGTTTCCAACGAATAACTCAAAGAGTTCCAAATACACACAATCAGATACTACAAAAGGAGTGTTTCATTCCTCCTCTGTCAAAAGACAGTTTCAACTCTGTTAGTTGAATGCACACATCTCAATGAAGTTCGTGAGAAGGCTTCTGCCTAGTTTTTTGTGAAGATGATAGTCCCTTTTCCACCATGGGCTTCAAAGCGCTCCAAATGAAAACTTGCAGGTCCTACCAAAAGACTGATTCAAAACTGCTCTATCAAAAGAACGGTTCCACTCTGTTAGGTGAATGCACACATCACAAGAAGTTTCTGAGAATGCTTCTGTTTCGTTTGTATGTGAAGATATTTCCTTTTCCATCATACTACACGAATCGCTCCAAATATCCACCTGCAGACGTTACAAAAAGACTGTTTCAAAACTGCTCTCTCAAAAGGAAGGTTCAACTCTGTGAGTTGAGTGCACACATCACAATGGAGTTTCTGAGAATACTTCTGTCTACTTTGTATGTGAAGGTATTTCCTTTTCTACCTGAGGCCCCAAGTCACTACAAATATCCACTTGCAGATACTACAAAAAGACTGTTTCAAAACCTCCCTCTCAAAAGGAAAGTTCAAATCTGTCGGTTGAATGCACACATCACAAAGCAGTTTCTGAGAATGCTTCTGTCTAGTTTGTATGTGAAGATATTTCCTTTTCCATCATAGGCCTCAAATCGCTCCAAATATCCACTTGAAGATACTACAAAAAGACTGTTTCAACACTGCTCTCTCAAATGGAAGGTTCAACTCTGTGAGTTGAATGCACACATCACAAAGCACTTTCTGAGAATGCTTCTGTCTAGTTTGTATGTGAAGATATGCCTTTTAAAACGTATTCGTCAAGGAGCTCCCAATATCCACAAGCAGATTCTACAGAATCAGTGTTTCAAACCTGCTCTGTCAAAGGAAAGTTTCAACTCTGTGAATTGAACACACACATCACAAAGCAGTTTCTAAGAATGCTTCTGTCTAGTTTTAAAGAGAAGATAATCCTTTTTCCACCATAGGCAAAAAATCTCTCCAAATGAACACTACCAGGTTCTACAAAAAGTGTGTTTCAACACTGCTCTAACAAAAGTAAGGATCAAGACTTTGAGTTAAATGCACACATCACAAAGCAGTTTCTGAGAAAGCTTCTGTCTAGTTTTTATTTGAAGGTACTTCCTTTTCCTTCTTAGACCTCAAATCGCTCCAAATATCCACTTGCACATACTACAAAAAGACTGTTTCAAAACCGCTCTCTCAAAAGGAAGGTTCAACTCTGTGAGTTGAATGCACATATTACAAAGCAGTTCCTGAGAATGCCTCTGTCTATTTTTTAGGAGAACATATCACTTTTTCCAACATAGGCCACAAAGCATTTGAAATGAACACTTGCAGATTCTACAAAATGTTTGTTTCAACACTGCTGTATCAAAAGAAAGGTTCAACAATGTGAATTGAACACACCCATCACAAAGGAGTTTCTGAGAATGCTTCTGTCTAGTTTTTATGTGAAGATATTTCTTTTTCCAACATAGGCAACAAAGCACTCCAAAGAACACTTGTAGATTATACAAAAAGTGTGTTTCAACACTGCTCTACCTAAAGGAAGTTTCAAGTCTGTGACTTAAATGCACACATCACAAAGCAGTTTCTGCGAATGCTTCTGTCTACTTTGTATGTGAAGGTATTTCATTTTCCACCATACTCCACAAATTGCTCCAAATATCCACTTGCAAATACTACAAAAAGACTGTTTCAAAACTTCTCTCTCAAAAGGAAGGTTCAACTCTGTGAGTTGAATGCACACATCACAAGGCAGTTTCTGAAAATGCTTCCGTCTAGTTTTTTATTTGAAGGTATTTCCTTTTCCTTCTTCGGCCTCAAATCACTGCAAATATCCACTTGCAGATACTACAAAAAGACTGTTTCAAAACCGCTCTCTCAAAAGGAAGGTTCAACACTGTGAGTTGAATGCACATGTTACAAAGCAGTTTCTGGAATGCTTCTGTCTATTTTTCAGGTGAAGATATCACTTTTTCCAACATACGCACAAAAGAACTCGAAATGGACACTTGCAGATTCTACAAAAAGTATGTTTCAACACTGCTCTATCAAAAGAAAGGTTCAACGATGTGATTTGAACACACACTTCACAGAGGAGTTTCAGAGAATGCTTGTTTCTAGTTTTTAAGTGAAGATATTACTTTTTCCCACATAGGCAACAAAGCGCTCCAAATGAATACTTGTGGATTCTACAAAAAGTGTGTTTCAACACTGCTCTATCAAAAGAAAGTTTCAAGTCTGTGAGTTGAACGCACACATCACAAAGAACCTTCTGAGAATGCTTGGGTCTACTTTTTATGTGAAGATACCCGTTTCCAACGAATAACTCAAAGAGTTCCAAATATACACAATCAGATACTACAAAAGGAGTGTTTCATTCCTGCTCTGTCAAAAGACAGTTTCAATTCTGTTAGTTGAATGCACACGTCTCAATGAAGTTCCTGAGAAGGCTTCTGCCTAGTTTTTTGTGAAGATAGTCCCTTTTCCACCATGGGCTTCAAAGCGCTCCAAATGAAAACTTGCAGGTCCTACCAAAAGACTGATTCAAAACTGCTCTATCAAAAGGACGGTTCCACTGTGTTAGGTGAATGCACACATCACAAGAAGTTTCTGAGAATGCTTCTGTTTAGTTTGTATGTGAAGATATTTCCTTTTCAATCATACTACACGAATCGCTCCAAATATCCAACTGCAGACATTACAAAAAGACTGTTTCAAAACTGCTCTCTCAAATGGAAGGTTCAACTCTGTGAGTTGAGTGCACACATCACAAGGGAGTTTCTGAGAATACTTCTGTCTACTTTGTATGTGAAGGTATTTCCTTTTCCACCTGAGGCCCCAAGTCACTACAAATATCCACTTGCAGATACTACAAAAAGACTGTTTCAAAACCTCCCTCTCCAAAGGAAAGTTCAAATCTGTCGGTTGAATGCACACATCACAAAGCAGTTTCTGAGAATGCTTCTGTCTAGTTTGTATGTGAAGATATTTCCTTTTCCATCCTAGGCCTCAAATCGCTCCAAATATCCACTTGCAGATACTACAAAAGACCGTTTCAACACTGCTCTCTCACAAGGAAGGTTCAACTCTGTGAGTTGAATGCACACATCACGAAGCAGTTTCTGAGAATGCTTCTGTCTAGTTTGTATGTGAAGATGTTTCCTTTTCCATCATAGGCCTCAAATCGCTCCAAATATCCACTTGCAGATACTACAAAAAGACTGTTTCAACACTGCTCTCTCAAATGGAAGGTTCAACTCTGTGAATTGAATGCACACATCACAAAGCAGTTTCTGAGAATGCTTCTGTCTAGTTTGTATGTGAAGATATGCCTTTTACAACGTATTCCTCAAAGAGCTCCCAATATCCACAAGCAGATTCTACAAAAGCAGTGTTTCAAAACTGCTCTATCAAAGGAAAGTTTCAACTCTGTGAATTGAACACACACATCACAAAGCAGTTTCTAAGAATGCTTCTGTCTAGTTTTTAAGAGAAGATAATCCTTTTTCCACCATAGGCAACAAATCTCTCCAAATGAACACTACCAGGTTCTACAAAAAGTGTGTTTCAACACTGCTCTAACAAAAGTAAGGATCAAGAATTTGAGTTAAATGCACACATCACAAAGCAGTTTCTGAGAAAGCTTCTGTCTAGTTTTTATTTGAAGGTACTTCCTTTTCCTTCTTAGACCTCAAATCGCTCCAAATATCCACTTGCACATACTACAAAAAGACTGTTTCAAAACCGCTCTCTCAAAAGGAAGGTTCAACTCTGTGAGTTGAATGCACATATTACAAAGCAGTTCCTGAGAATGCCTCTGTCTATTTTTTAGGTGAAGATATCACTTTTTCCAACATAGGCCGCAAAGCATTTGAAATGAACCCTTGCAGATTCTACAAAATGTTTGTTTCAACACTGCTGTATCAAAAGAAAGGTTCAACAATGTGAATTGAACAAACCCATCACAAAGGAGTTTCTGAGAATGCTTCTGTCTAGTTTTTATGTGAAGATATTTCTTTTTCCAACATAGGCAACAAAGCACTCCAAAGAACACTTGTAGATTATACAAAAAGTGTGTTTCAACACTGCTCTACCTAAAGGAAGTTTCAAGTCTGTGACTTAAGTGCACACATCACAAAGCAGTTTCTGAGAATGCTTCTGTCTAGTTTGTATGTGAAGATATTTCATTTTCCACCATACTCCACAAATCGCTCCAAATATCCACTTGCAAATACTACAAAAAGACTGTTTCAAAACTTCTCTCTCAAAAGGAAGGTTCAACTCTGTGAGTTGAATGCACACATCACAAGGCAGTTTCTGAAAATGCTTCCGTCTAGTTTTTTATTTCAAGGTATTTCCTTTTCCTCCTTCGGCCTCAAATCACTGCAAATATCCACTTGCAGATACTTCAAAAAGACTGTTTCAAAACCGCTCTCTCAAAAGGAAGGTTCAACACTGTGAGTTGAATGCACATGTTACAAAGCAGTTTATGGAATGCTTCTGTCTATTTTTCAGGTGAAGAAATCACTTTTTCCAACATACGCACAAAAGAACTCAAAATGGGCACTTGCAGATTCTACAAAAAGTATGTTTCAACACTGCTCCATCAAAAGAAAGGTTCAACGATGTGAATTGAACACACACTTCACAGAGGAGTTTCAGAGAATGCTTCTGTCTAGTTTTTAAGTGAAGATATTCCTTTTTCCCACATAGGCAACAAAGCGCTCCAAATGAATACTTGTGGATTCTACAAAAACTGTGTTTCAACACTGCTCTATCAAAAGAAAGTTTCAAGTCTGTGAGTTGAACGCACACATCACAAAGGACCTTCTGAGAATGCTTGGGTCTACTTTTTATGTGAAGATACCCGTTTCCAACGAATAACTCAAAGAGTTCCAAATATACACAATCAGATACTACAAAAGGAGTGTTTCATTCCTCCTCTGTCAAAAGACAGTTTCAACTCTGTTAGTTGAATGCACACATCTCAATGAAGTTCCTGAGAAGGCTTCTGCCTAGTTTTTTGTGAAGATAGTCCCTTTTCCACCATGGGCTTCAAAGCGCTCCAAATGAATACTTGCAGGTCCTACCAAAAGACTGATTCAAAACTGCTCTATCAAAAGAACGGTTCCACTCTGTTAGGTGAATGCACACATCACAAGAAGTTTCTGAGAATGCTTCTGTTTAGTTTGTATGTGAAGATATTTCCTTTTCCATCATAGTACTCGAATCGCTCCAAATATCCACCTGCAGACATTACAAAAAGACTGTTTCAAAACTGCTGCTCTCAAAAGGAAGGTTCAACTCTGTGAGTTGAGTGCACACATCACAATGGAGTTTCTGAGAATACTTCTGTCTAGTTTGCATGTGAAGGTATTTCCTTTTCCATCTGAGGCCCCAAGTCACTACAAATATCCACTTGCAGATACTACGAAAAGACTGTTTCAAAACCTCCCTCTCAAGAGGAAAGTTCAAATCTGTCGGTTGAATGCACACATCACAAAGCAGTTTCTGAGAATGCTTCTGTCTAGTTTGTATGTGAAGATATTTCCTTTTCCATCATAGGCCTCAAATCGCTCCAAATATCCACTTGCAGATACTACAAAAGACCGTTTCAACACTGCTCTCTCAAAAGGAAGGTTCAACTCTGTGGGTTGAATGCACACATCACAAAGCAGTTTCTGAGAATGCTTCTGTCTAGTTTGTATGTGAAGATATTTCCTTTTCCATCATAGGCCTCAAATCGCTCCAAATATCCACTTGCAGATACTACAAAAAGACTGTTTCAACACTGCTCTCTCAAATGGAAGGTTCAACTCTGTGAGTTGAATGCACACATCACAACGGAGTTTCTGAGAATGCTTCTGTCTAGTTTGTATGTGAAGATATGCCTTTTACAACGTATTCCTCAAAGAGCTCCCAATATCCACAAGCAGAATCTACAAAAGCAGTGTTTCAAACCTGCTCTATCAAAGGAAAGTTTCAACTCGGTGAATTGAACACACACATCACAAAGCAGTTTCTAAGAATGCTTCTCTCTAGTTTTTAAGAGAAGATAATCCTTTTTCCACCATAGGCAACAAATCTCTCCAAAGGAACACTAGCAGGTTCTACAAAAAGTGTGTTTCAACACTGCTCTATCAAAAGAAAGTTTCAAGTCTGTGAGTTGAACGCCCACATCACAAAGAACCTTCTGAGAATGCTTGGGTATACTTTTTATGTGAAGATACCCGTTTCCAACGAATAACTCAAAGAGTTCCAAATATACACAATCAGATACTACAAAAGGAGTGTTTCATTCCTGCTCTGTCAAAAGACAGTTTCAACTCTGTTAGTTGAATGCACACATCTCAATGAAGATCCTGAGAAGGCTTCTGCCTAGTTTTTTGCGAAGATATTCCCTTTTCCACCATAGGCTTCAAAGCGCTCCAAATGAAAACTTGCAGGACCTACCAAAAGACTGATTCAAAACTGCTCTATCAAAAGAACGGTTCCACTCTGTTAGGTGAACGCACACATCAGAAGACGTTTCTGAGAATGCTTCTGTTTAGTTTGTATGTGAAGATATTTCCTTTTCCATCATAGTACTCGAATCGCTCCAAATATCCACTTGCAGACATTACAAAAAGACTGTTTCAAAACTGCTCTCTCAAAAGGAAGGTTCAACTCTGTGAGTTGAGTGCACACTTCACAATGGAGTTTCTGAGAATACTTCTGTCTACTTTGTATGTGAAGGTATTTCCTTTTCCACCTGAGGTCCCAAGTCACTACAAATATCCACTTGCAGATACTACTAAAAGACTGTTTCAAAACCTCCCTCTCAAAAGGAAAGTTCAAATCTGTCGGTTGAATGCACACATCACAAAGCAGTTTCTGAGAATGCTTCTGTCTAGTTTGTATGTGAAGATATTTCCTTTTCCATCATAGGCCTCAAATCGCTCCAAATATCCACTTGCAGATACTACAAAAGACCGTTTCAACACTGCTCTCTCAAATGGAAGGTTCAACTCTGTGAGTTGAATGCACACATCACAAAGCAGTTTCTGAGAATGCTTCTGTCTAGTTTGTATGTGAAGATATGCCTTTTACAACGTATTCCTCAAGGAGCTCCCAATATCCACAAGCAGATTCTACAGAAGCAGTGTTTCAAACCTGCTCTGTCAAAGGAAAGTTTCAACTCTGTGAATTGAACACACACATCACAAAGCAGTTTCTAAGAATGCTTCTGTCTAGTTTTTAAGAGAAGATAATCCTTTTTCCACCATAGGCAACAAATCTCTCCAAATGAACACTACCAGGTTCTACAAAAAGTGTGTTTCAACACTGCTCTAACAAAAGTAAGGATCAAGACTTTGAGTTAAATGCACACATCACAAAGCAGTTTCTGAGAAAGCTTCTGTCTAGTTTTAATTTGAAGGTACTTCCTTTTCCTTCTTAGACCTCAAATCTCTCCAAATATCCACTTGCAGATACTACAAAAAGACTGTTTCAAAACCGCTCTCTCAAAAGGAAGGTTCAACTCTGTGAGTTGAATGCACATATTACAAAGCAGTTCCTGAGAATGCTTCTGTCTATTTTTTAGGTGAAGATATCACTTTTTCCAACATAGGCCACAAAGCATTTGAAATGAACCCTTGCAGATTCTACAAAATGTTTGTTTCAACCCTGCTGTATCAAAAGAAAGGTTCAACAATGTGAATTGAACAAACCCATCACAAAGGAGTTTCTGAGAATGCTTCTGTCTAGTTTTTATGTGAAGATATTTCTTTTTCCAACATAGGCAACAAAGCACTCCAAAGAACACTTGTAGATTATACAAAAAGTGTGTTTCAACACTGCTCTACCTAAAGGAAGTTTCAAGTCTGTGACTTAAATGCACACATCACAAAGCAGTTTCTGAGAATGCTTCTGTCTACTTTGTATGTGAAGGTATTTCATTTTCCACCATACTCCACAAATCGCTCCAAATATCCACTTGCAAATACTACAAAAAGACTGTTTCAAAACTTCTCTCTCAAAAGGAAGGTTCAACTCTGTGAGTTGAATGCACACATCACAAGGCAGTTTCTGAAAATGCTTTCCGTCTAGTTTTTTATTTGAAGGTATTTCCTTTTCCTTCTTCGGCCTCAAATCCCTGCAAATATCCACTTGCAGATACTACAAAAAGACTGTTTTAAAACCGCTCTCTCAAAAGGAAGGTGCAACACTGTGAGGTGAATGCACATGTTACGAAGCAGTTTCTGGAATGCTTCTGTCTATTTTTCAGGTGAAGATATCACTTTTTCCAACATACGCACAAAAGAACTCGAAATGGACACTTGCAGATTCTACAAAAAGTATGTTTCAACACTGCTCTATCAAAAGAAAGGTTCAACGATGTGAATTGAACACACACTTCACAGAGGAGTTTCAGAGAATGCTTCTGTCTAGTTTTTAAGTGAAGATATTCCTTTTTCCCACATAGGCAACAAAGCGCTCCAAATGAATACTTGCGGTTTCTACAAAACGTGTGTTTCAACACTGCTCTATCAAAAGAAAGATTCAAGTCTGTGAGTTGAACGCACACATCACAAAGAACCTTCTGAGAATGCTTGGGTCTACTTTATATGTGAAGATACCCGTTTCCAACGAATAACTCAAAGAGTTCCAAATATACACAATCAGATACTACAAAAGGAGTGCTTCATTCCTGCTCTGTCAAAAGACAGTTTCAACTCTGTTAGTTGAATGCACACATCTCAATGAAGTTCCTGAGAAGGCTTCTGCCTAGTTTTTTGTGAAGATATTCCCTTTTCCACCATAGGCTTCAAAGCGCTCCAAATGAAAACTTGCAGGTCCTACCAAAAGACTGATTCAAAACTGCTCTATCAAAAGAACGGTTCCACTCTGTTAGGTGAAGGCACACTTCAGAAGACGTTTCTGAGAATGCTTCTGTTTAGTTTGTATGTGAAGATATTTCCTTTTCCATCACAGTACTCGAATCGCTCCAAATATCCACTTGCAGACATTACAAAAAGACTGTTTCAAAACTGCTCTCTCAAAAGGAAGCTTCAACTCTGTGAGTTGAGTGCACACATCACAATGGAGTTTCTGAGAATACTTCTGTCTACTTTGTATGTGAAGGTATTTCCTTTTCCATCTGAGGCCCCAAGTCACTACAAATATCCACTTGCAGATACTACAAAAAGACTGTTTCAAAACCTCCCTCTCAAAAGGAAAGTTCAAATCTGTGAGTTGAATGCACACATCACAAAGCAGTTCCTGAGACTGCTTCTGTCTAGTTTGTATGTGAAGATATTTCCTTTTCCATCATAGGCTTCAAATCGCTCCAAATATCCACTTGCAGATACTACAAAAGACCGTTTCAACACTGCTCTCTCAAAAGGAAGGTTCAACTCTGTGGGTTGAATGCACACATCACAAAGCAGTTTCTGAGAATGCTTCTGTCTAGTTTGTATGTGAAGATATTTCCTTTTCCATCATAGGCCTCAAATCGCTCCAAATATCCAATTGAAGATACTACAAAAAGACCGTTTCCACACTGCTCTCTCAAATGGAAGGTTCAACTCTGTGAGTTGAATGCACACATCACAAAGCAGTTTCTGAGAATGCTTCTGTCTAGTTTGTATGTGAAGATATGCCTTTTACAACGTATTCCTCAAGGAGCTCCCAATATCCACAAGCAGATTCTACAGAAGCAGTGTTTCAAACCTGCTCTGTCAAAGGAAAGTTTCAACTCTGTGAATTGAACACACACATCACAAAGCAGTTTCTAAGAATGCT